>NC_000017.11:10188080-10339595 GCF_000001405.40 Homo sapiens
AAAAATGGAAAAATTAGCCAGGCATGGTGGTGGGCACCTGTAATCCCAGCTACTCGGGAGGCGGAGGCAGGGGAATTACTTGCACCCAGGAGACAGAGGCTGCAGTGAGCCGAGATCGCGCCACTGCACTCCAGCCTGGGTGACAGAGCAAGACTCCACCTCAAGAAAAAAAAAAAATCCATTTCAATATAGTTACTGAACCCCTTCCGCATGTTCTGACCTGCTAAGCGCAGGTAAACCTGATTTTAACTAGTTCCTTCTGGTGTACATTGAGGTTGTTGTTCATCTTGTGCTATCAGAGGCTGTGATGTAATATACGCTGATATTTACAGCTTGCCTGATATATCAGATGCTCCCTGAGAAGAAATTTCTAGAAGTGGAATTGTACAGTGCCAAATGGTCCTTCAGGAAGCTCAGGACCATTTCCTTACACCCTGCCAATACCATTTTTTTTTTACATATTTCTGTCTTCAAGCTGTTTTTTAATTAAATTTGCAATTATTCAATCACTGGCGAGACTAAATAGTTGAGGACTTTTTATATGGTTTTGTGTGTGTGTGTGTTCATTTGTTTTAAGAGACAGAGTCTCACGCTTTCACTCAGGCTAGAGTGCAGTGGTGCAGTCTTGGCTCACTGCAGCTTTGACCTCCCGGGTTCAAGCGATCCTCCCACCTGAGCCTCCTGAGTAGCTGGGGCTACAGGCATGAACCATCACACCCAGCTAATTTTTTTGTATTTATAGAGAAAAAATTTGGGTTTCCCCATGTTGCCCAGGCTGGTCTTGAACTCCTGGGCTCAAACAATCTGCCCACCTTAACCTCCCAAAGTGCTGGGATTATAGGCATGAGCCACCATGCCCAGCCTGTATATGTTTTATTATGAAGTGTCTATCCAAGTTCCTTGCCCATTCTTATACTGATATGTTCCTCTTTGTTTTGGGTTTTGTTGTTTTAATTTATAAAAGCACTTTCTACATTAAGGAACTTTTTCCAAATTTGTATTTGCCTTTTACCTCCTTTTTTTTGGGAAGAGATTTCTAGTGGCAGAATAAAGGATGGACAGATGGGGAAAATACAAAAGGGAAAAAGTGCATTACAAGTGACCTGCAAGAAGTGAGACCCCCTGAGGTTCCCTTACTCCCTCCGATCAACACACCAGCAAGACCTGTTGACACTAGCTGCAACATACATTCCAAATCCACACACCTCTCACCATCTCCACTTCCACCACCCTGCTCTGAGCTTCCCAACTGGTCTCCTTGCCTCCCCTCCCTGTTTTCTTCAAATCCATTCTCCACCCTGCAGTCTAGAAGAGCTTTCCAGAACGCATCCGAAGATGCCACCCACTTCAATCAAACCAAAGGCTTTTCCACTGCATTTAGAAAATGACCCATCTCCCCAGGTTCTATCTCCTTCCCCGGCACACCCCCAACCCCTCTCCCCCTACTTGCCACTCTAACCATTCTGGAATATTCTGGCTCTCCCAGGTTTATCAAACACACTCCTCTACTCAGGGTTATGTACATCTGCAGTCCCCCTCAGCCTCAAATTATTTTCCCCCAAATAGTCACATGGCTGGCTGGGCACAGTGGCTCAAGCCTGTAATCCCAGCACTTTGGGAGGCCAAGGAGGGTGGATCACTTGAGGCCAGGAGTTGGAGACCAGCCTGGCCAACATGGCAAAACCCTATCTCTACTAAAAATACAAAAATTAGCCGGCTGTGGTGGCGGGTGCCTATAGTCCCAACTACTTGGGAAGCTGAGGCATGAAAATCATTTGAACCCAGGAGGTAGAGGCTGCAGTGAGCCGAGATCACACCACTGCACTTCAGCCTGGGCAACAGAGCAAGATTCCATCTCCCAAAAAAAAAAAAAAGTTGAAAACAAATCAAAAGAAGAATAATACTTCACGGCCCATGAAAATTATAACAAATTCAAATTTCAGTCCATAAATAAAGTTTTATTGGAACACAGGCACGCCCATTGGCTTTCGGATTATCTCTGGCTGCTTTTGCACTACAGCAGCAGAGTGGATTAGTTGTGACAGAGACCATATGGGATGCTCTCACTGCTTGTCACTGCCTCTGGCGCACTACAGATCACACCGATGCAGCCGTAACTCAGTTTTGCCTCATGGCCCACACAGCCTAAAATGTTTCCTGGCCTTTTACAGAAAGATTTGCCAACGCAAGTTAAGAAGGAGAAGGCTTTAAGAAATGTTTCTGGCCGGGCGCAGTGGCTCATGCCTGTAACCCTAGCACTTTGGGAGGCCAAGGCGGGCGGATCATGAGGTCAGGAGTTTGAGTCCAGCCTGACCAGCGTGGTGAAACCCCATCTCTATTAAAAATACAAAAATTAGCCGGGCGTGGTGGTGCGTGCCTGTAATAGCTACTCAGGAGGCTGAGGCAGGAGAATCGCTTGAACCCAGGAGGTGGAGGTTGCAGTGAGCCAAGATCGTGCCTTTACACTCCAGCCTGAGCGACAGAGCAAGACTCCGTCTCAAAAAAAAAAAAAAGAAAAAAAGAAATGCTTCTAAGGAAGAAGGGAAGGGACGAGGCTTGCTAGCCTACTGAACAGGAGAGGAAAGGTAAGGGGAGAGATATCAGGGAACTTGGTGGACAGATGGTGGTGACATTCACTAAAGTTTAGAGCAGGGGTGTCCAATCTTTTGGCTTCCCTGGGCCACACTGAAAGAAGAAAAATTATATTGGGCCTCACATAAAATACACTAACGCTACTATAGCTGATGAGCTAAAAAATATATATCTCACAAAAAAAAAAAACCCTCATGTTTTAAGAAAGTTTACAAACCTAAGAACAGGCACGGTGGTTCACGCCTGTAATCCCAGCACTTTGGGAGGCCAAGGCAGGTGGATCACCTGAGGTGGGAAGTTCAAGACCAGACTGACCAACATGGAGAAATCCCATCTCTACTAAAAATACAAAACTAGCCGGGTGTGGTGGCGCATGCCCGTAATCCCAGCTACCCAGGAGGCTGAGGTAGGAGGATCGCTAGAACCCAGGAGGCAGAGGTTACAGTGAGCCGAGATCACGCCATTGTACTCCAGCCTGGGCAACGAGAGCGGAACTCCGTCTCAAAAAAAAAAAAAGAAAGTTTCCAAATTTGTGTTGGGCCCCATTCAAAGGCCATCCTGGGCCACATGTTCCACAAGCTTGGTTTAGAGGTTGGGAACAGAAGGCAGTGAAGAGGCTGGGCACGGTGGCTCATGCCTGTAATCTCAGCACTTTGGGAGGCCAAGGTGGGAGGATCACTTGAGCCCAAGAGTTTGAGACCAGTCTGAGAAACATGGTGAAACCCTGTCTCTACAAAAAATACAAAAATTAGCCAGGCATGGTGGCAGGTGCCTATAGTCCAAGCTACTTGGAGGATCGTTTGAGCCCAGGAGGTCAAGGCAGCAGTGAGCCATGATCATGCCACTATACTCCAGCCTGGGCAACAGAGCAAGACCCTGTGTCAAAAAAAAAAAAAAAAAAGGCAGTAAGGAGAGGAGAGAGGGCTGGGCACGGTGGCTCACGCCTGTAATCCCAGCACTTTGGGAGGCTGAGGCGGGTGAATCACAAAGTCAGGAGTTCGAGACCAGCCTGGCCAACCTGGTGAAACCCCACCTCTACTAAAAATACAAAAATTAGCCAGGCATGGTGGTGGAAGCCTGTAATCACAGCTACTCAGGAGGCTGAGGCAGGAGAATCACTTGAACCCAGGAGGCGGAGGTTGTAGTGAGCCGAGATCACGCCACTGCACTCCAGCCTGGGCAACAAAGCAAGACTCCATCTCAAAAAAAAAAAAAAAAAAGAGGAGAGAGATGATGAGTTTAGTTTTGACATATGAAATTTGAGTACCTAGAGGTTGAATCTGAAAACCAGCTCCAAGCTCAAGAAGAGTAGTAGACGGAGAACTAGGAAGTTAAACTAAAAACAAATTCTTAAAGATGGTAGGGAAGACAGAAAACGTGAAGAAAGGAGGTGGGTGGATCCTCTTAAGACTCCTCAAAAACTTCTCACAGTTCATATACCTACTGCAACTAAACTTTCACAACGTCACAACATGTTCTGGTCAGCCAAGGAAAAGCCAGAGAGATCTGCCAGCCGCCACTTCTTCTTCTCGCCATAGGCATAAATACCACCCCAGAAGCCTCGCCATTGCAGGGAGACAGAGAAATATACTAATTTTGCATTTAAGTACAGAGGAATCCCTCCTGACATTTTGTTAGAAAGCCTGTCATGTGTCGCCTTGCTGCTGTGAGTAATAAGACAGCACAGTCCCCTGGGCTGGCCTGATAATAGTCAAAATACCTTACATGTACACAAGGTTTCCTGGTTTACCAAAAAACATTTTCTTTCACCAGCGAAGTGAGGATCAGTATCCGTGTTCACAGACAAGGTCTACCACACCATCAGAAAAAAGCTGGGCTTTTCCAGACTGAGAAGAGTACGTGAAGGTCAGCCTCTCATTCATGTTTCTAGGTGGTAACAGACATCAGGGATCCACAGAGCGGTGAACAGATGTCAGGGATTCCCGCCGACTTGTTGCTAAGGGAACTTTTGTGAAAATGCCCTGAATCCACTCAATCCATAAGCCTTGCTCATTGCTTTAAAGTCCTGTGGGGTAGCCACTGACCAGTCCAGCACACAAGTGTGACAAAAGAGGTGGTTCCTTCTGAGCTGAGGCTGACAGAGTGGTGGGCCAAAGGTCATTTTCTAACACCAGGAGCTACAAATACTGGCCACAGCCCCCATACCAAGGAGGAGGGTGATTTAGTGAAGATGTCAGAAAGCACGCTGGTCTTTTCAGTCACAATTACCCACCCCTCCGAGCCACAAGCCCTAATTGCACCTTTTGTGAACAGAGTTGATGACTGACTGAAAAATACTAGCATGAGGGACAAGGTCACACTCATTTTGGGTGATTTTCATGTTGCAGAAAGAAAGGAAAAGGCTCTGTATTAAAATCAATTTGTGTAATATAGCAAACATCTATTAGATGTCAGGGAGCTCAGATCCACTATGTCTATGAATCATCAGCACTGAACAGCCCTGGCCTAAAAAAAGCTGGACTGGTATGTCAATGGCTTAGTGGACAGGCCCAGAGCCAGGCAAATCTGATTTCAAATTCCAGCTGCATCGTTTATCATGTGGCCTTTAGAAAGAAACCTCTAGAGTCAAAAAAAAAAAAAAAAAACCCTCCAAGGATTGCGATAGAGGTAGAACTGCCAAGTCTCTGCATTTTACCTCCCTCTTGGGGTTCTCTCTCTCATCAGTCTGGCCCAGCACTACCTCCTCACTAATGGATCATCTGTCCCATGTATGTTCTCCCTAGCCTTCTGAGGGAGCTAGTCTGCAATATGGCCCTCGATGAACCACGCCTCCCTCATAACCGCACCTGTACCCACCTCCCTTCCAAATTGACTCTGGACAGACCTGTGACTACTTTCCCAATAGAATGTGGCAGAAACGATATGCCAGTTCTGGGCCCAGACCTTAAGAGGGCCTGGCAATGTATGCCTTTGCATTCTTAGAAGCCAGCTACCACATAACTCCTGAAGAGAAAGGCCATGTGGAAAGGCCCTGGAGAATGAAACACTACATGGAGAAAGGCGCCACATGGAAGAACATCAAAGCACCAGACAGGTGAGTGAAGATGACATTTTGGAGGCTGCAGTCTAGTTGAGCCTCCAAGACTCTGCCCCAGCCACCATCTGATTGCAACTGCATGAGAGACACTGAGACAGACCAGCAGAAGAACCACCCAGCTGAGCCCCGTCAATCCACAAAACCATGCCAGATAATAAGAAATTGTTGCTTTGAAACACTAAATCTTGGAGTGGCTTGTTACATGGCAATAGATAAAACATCATTCCTTAATTATCCATAGCACAGCCCACTCTCTCCCACAGACACTCCTTATCAACTCCTGCAGCACAACTGCATGAACCCAAAATGGGAGAACAAAGGGTAGAGTGAAGAAAATCAAGTTTAACGGTGACCCTCAGCAGCCATTCTAGTTGTGCCAGCAAACAGTGTCATATTCTGTTAGTAACCCAGAAAGAAAGGAAAAGGCTCTTTTTAGGAAAGAGAAAAGGTCCAGATTATCCAGCCAGATCCTGGATTCTAAGAATACCACCTAGTTCAAAGAAAGCTCTATTTTGTTTGCATTCCAATCCCATTGTCCCCCAGAATTATTTCCCAAAAGCTCTGGGAAGTTTTGTAGATGCCTTACAACATTCCCCAGGTCCCTAATTTCTTCTCTCCATTCAAGGAAAGTACAGGCCACAGGAATTCCTGGACCCTATTAAACCCTCCAACCACTGACCTGTCCAGCCACTGGGCTTGTCCTGGTACCATGTCTTTCTCTCCAAATTTTCCCCAGGATGGAGATCTAGGATTCTCTATCCACCTTCCCCAGGAGCTATTTCTCAGCCTTGATGTACCCTAGAAAGCTGGTGGAAATATTCCCACATGTGGGGTTCCCAGGTCTATGGAGGCAATCTCAGGCCTAGCTTGGAGCTGGCAGAACATGCTCCCACAGCTCCTATCTCTGGTCTCAGGTCTCTTCCTCTACCATATCTCTCAAATGATGTTAAAAAGACTTCTCGGCCGGGCACAGTGGCTCACGCCTGTAATCCCAGCACTTTGGGAGGCCGAGGCGGGTGGATCACAAGGTGAGGAGATCGAGACCATGCTGGCTAACACGGCGAAACCTCACCTCTACTCAAAATACAACTGCACTCCAGCCTGAGCAACAGTGCGAGACTCTGTCTCAAAAAAAAAAAAAAAAAAAAAAAAAGACTTCTTAATTCCTGTCCCTCGTCATAGCAGAAGAAACCCTCAGGAAAGATTTTTCTAGTTGATTTTATCTAATAACCAGCTGTGGGCCTTGGCTGTAAGGCCTATTCCTTTTCTGGAGGTAGGTGTTTCCCTCTGCCCATCCTTTGAAGAGCTGCACCACCCCGAGTAGGAAGAACCCTTGTGGCCAGAGTCCTTGGGCCTACCAGAGACCTCTACACTTCCCTGCCTGTGCTGAGGTTTTCCTGGAAGCTGCTCTCTGGAAGCCAAGTATGTGCTATACCATTTCCTTGGAGTCTTGACCAAAGAGATTGCCCCAAAAACCAAGACCTCCTCCAAGCTGGCCTCCTCCCAAGGGCTAGCTGGCCACTGGGTCAGATCTGGTGACTCTCTTGGAGTTAGCTCCCAACTCCCCTCCCCCGTGTATGCTTCCTGCAAAGGCTGGGTCTCTCGGTTCCCCTTGCTTCATCTGAACAAGGAAGATCTCCTTGGGAAGTATCCAGTGTGCACACAGTATTCAGTGCCTCCCTCCCCTCCACCAAGATGGGGTTTCCTAGTATCACTCTTTCTATCAGGGTGAAAGTTCCGCTGGAGTAGGGAGCACATTAGAGATGCCATATTCATCTGTGTACCCACAATCCCATCCCTAGGCCAGGAGGCTAGTACAGTCCATCTGTCTGTACTTGTTTCTCCAACAGCTGCCCTGGCCTTCTGAACTCCATGCTCCCAAGCAAGCTGAGTGACAGCACCACATTGGCTGACATCTCATGAGGTTCGCCATCTCCAGTATCTATGGGCCCCCTCTCTAGTCTCATGAGTCCAGATGCTGGCCAGTCTACCCACCAGCCTGGGGACCTCTGCATTCTCTGAGTCTGCCCTTCAGGACTCACCCCATCCCAAGCAACTCTGCTTGCATGTCCTCTATCTCTACCTAGCCTTCAGCCTTGAGGTCCAACTTGCTCATGTAGGAGGTTCCCAGATGCCAAGCACCTGACCCACATGCCCCCCTGTTGAAACTGCATCTGCTTTGGCCCTGAGAAGAGTCCCACCCAGTACTTAGGATACAGGACTCGGGCCCACTGTGGGAAGACCCCCAGCTGGTTCTGAGTAAAGTCACACTTTGGGGTTAGCAGGGAAGATCCTCCAAGTTGCTCCTGGATGCAGCTGTCCTCGTTTTAGCCCTAGAGGTTCAGCCTCCCCTTCGCGGTGCTGTCACCAACATGCTGACCTCAGGGGCTGCGCATGCCCCTTTTCCCCATGGATCCAGACCCTTCGCTCACACGCTGTTTGGCATAGTTGAGCCCGGGCTATCATGTTTAAAAAAGGCACAGGCGCAGGGGGTGATACTCAGTCATCTGAGCTGCTAACAAAACACGCAAGCATTACTAGTTGGGGAGCTGACTTCGCCTCTCTCATATTCAGCTTGCTTGTCTATAAAATGGGGGAAGTACCTCACCCTTCACAGAGCTGTCAGGGAACTGGTGATAACGTGCACACACTGTGCCAAGCAGGTGCTCAGAAGTATTGCTCACGCAGATGGATGCTTCTGTTGCAAGTTACTAGTCAGGAATGGTCTGAGAGGCCCTGAGACACCAGAGATCTCTTACCTTTGTATATGCCAGAGGATGGGACAGACACACCCAAAACTGTCCCAGTTGTTAATTCCGCTTGTCCCCTGGCCCTGGTCCATCGTCCCTTTCCCGGAAGAAAAAGCAGCACTCCACTCTTGCTAACTAACACCTACCCAGCCTCACCCCTACACAAAACACAGCTGGCTCAGTCCAGCCAGGGATGCTCCTCACCGGACAGACATCCATCAGCCAAATTTCCACATCAGAATTTCCTGGAAAAGGGTGACCACCCGAAGAACTCCCAAAATACGTATCTATCCCAGGGCTTCAAGCTAGAAACAAGGAGGCCCCTTGCTTCTCATGTAAGAAGCAATACGTTCGCTTTCTTTTACATCCGAATCTCGGGAAAGGAACTGGAAAAGCCAGGGCAGGGCACACCTGAGCCTCTCCTACAAGTAGGGTATCTCCGGATTCTCCAGATACAGAACCAAGAGGGTTCCTGCAACATACTCTGCTGACAGCCCATGAAAGCTCATTCCAGCAGCCCCTAAACTTTGCTCAAATGCTACTGATGCCTTTAGGAGAGATTTTGTTGTTCTCTGGACCTGAAAGCAATCTAATGTACTTTTATAAGGCCAGGCTCTTGCTGACAATGTTGCCACAGGATACATCCTCAGGCGGACTCACCCTGTAACCATTTCACTTCTTTCTTTCTTCCCCCCGCCCCCGATGAATTGCACTGAGCATTCTCAGTCAAAATTTGCTACTTTCTCTGTGAAGTAGGTCAAGAGTTAAATAATAAATAAATTCAGCCTCCATGATTTCTTCCGGCAGTGTTTTACCAGAATGTTTAGGAATACTGACACCATTGAAGGTAACTGTTAATTTAGTCTTTACAAGAATCCTGGGGGCAGGCGGGCTTCTAGTAAAGGGGATGTCCTGGAAGGTCACCCCCCCACACACAAAGGACTTTAGAAACTTCGGGTCTCACTCAGGCTGTGACTGCGAGCTCAGTGATTAGAGGACAGCCTGTCACATAGACAATAAACAGCCAGCCGCCTTGCCTCAGCAGGTCCTGTGCAGCCCTGGGGCCAGGCCAGAACCCCAGGAACAAGCCACTTTCGGGTTCTGAGCCTTAGCCTCGGGGAGCTGGACCAGGGGAGCAGGCAGTGGCGGGGGGTGCTACGGCACCCCAGGATCAAGCCTGCTGAGGGGGCTCGGGCTGGTGGCCAGCAGGCTCGGCTGACCAGCAAGTGGGTGGTCCCGAGGCGGCCAGGCAGCCTGACCCAAGGCAGCACGACCGTCCACGGGTCATCAGGCTCTAGACTCCGGGGTGGAGACGCGGGGCTGCGGGACCGAGTCGGTGCCACTTTCTCGCACCCCTGATCCTCCGTGCCTCTTCCCAAGACCGCCAGACCCTTCACCGGCCCCTGCCACTGCCGGGAACGCTCCCGCCTGCTCCTTAACTCACACAGGCAACAAGTTCTCGCTTCCTCAGAGCAGCCACGGTGTGCTCCGGAGGCCCGGCGCAAGGTGGAAGCTCCCCGCGAGTCCGCGTTGCCCACGCCCCGAGGGGCGCCCGCTGCCGTCGCTGCCCCCCAGGAGCGTGGAGCTACAGGTAGCGCCGGCAAGGGCTGCCCCCCGGGGCGCCCCTCCGACCGGGACGCTGCGGCATCCCCGGAACGGGCAACAGGTACGCGAGCGCACCGAGGACCGCAGCCCCGGCTCCTACAGCCCCGGCCCTCGCCCCTTACCTCCAGCAACTGCACGTAGCTCGCCGGGAACCAGCCACGGAGCCCGTCCTCCTTCTCGCCTTCCCACCAGCCGCCGTCCGGGACCTGCAGCAGCGTGATCAGCTCGCCCGCGGCGAAGCGCAGCCCCTGGCCGTGCCGCTCCCCGGAGAAGGGGTACAGGGTCCGGCAGCGAGCGCCGGACATGGCCTTGGCGCCCGGGTTCACAGCGCAGCCTGCATTCCCGCCGAGCCCCACGGGCTGGGCAGCGGCTCCGCGGGGTCCCAGGCGCCCGGCGCTCCGGGCTCCCGCGCTCTGGGCGCGCGCCGTCTCTGGGGTGCGCGGGGGTCCTCAGGCAGGCGGGGGACGCGCGCTCCGCGCCGGGAAGCAGAGACTCGTTGGCTTCGCAGAGCGAGCGGCGACGCCCCCGGGCCGGGCAGCTCGCGGATCCTAGCTCTGGGCTGGGGGGCGGGGCTCAGGGGGAGGAGACCCAGGCGCCGCGGGCTCCGGAGACAACTTCCCGGGAACGCGGAACGCGGGCTGCCGCCGCGAGGGCTGGCCGGGGCCGGGGCCGGGACCGGGGCCGGGGCCGCCCTGGCGCGCGGAAATGCGCAGCTCCCCCGGGAGGTGGGACCCGGAGCATCCCCCGCGGCAGGACTCCGCGGCGGGCGGCCGTGGAGAGGAGCTGGCGGCCGGGTGGCCGGGCGGGGGTTAGCTCACTGGCGAGGGGGCGGGCCGGGGCGGGGCCAGGGCGGCCACGCCCGCGGAGGGCTGCGCGCTCCCTCGCAGAGGGGCCTGTCACTGGGGAGAGGGGCTCCCACTCGCGCCCCCACCGCCGGGGACCGCGGGAATGGAAACGCCCCTCTGTTCTGTGCCTGCTTTGTAGGCCTGGCGGCCCGTGGCGTGCGGGCGGCTTCTTCGAGGTGTCTGCGAGGGATCGTTTGTGGTTGTCATTGTAGTGGTTGAACCTGGGGTTGAACTTGTCTCACCGGAAACTGAACAATGGGTGAAAGACAGGTTTGAAGCCTGGCGCCTGAGCCCAGCAGCCTGGTGGCAGCGTGGCACGCTGGAGGGACGGAATGGAGAGAAGACGGGGTCGGAGTTGATAGAATTGGAAACAGTCGATGGGGATAAATGGAGGAAAGGCGAACGGTGAGAGGAACAGCACCAATGCTTTTACTTGCAGAGGGAAGGCCGGCCCAGGGTACCAGCCCTCCCGAAATCGAGATGGGTTGGCTAAAGAGTCTACACTCATGTAGTCAGTCAACAAACATTACCAGGAGGCTGCCATGTTCCATGCGATGTGCCAGGTACTACAAACATCATTTGGGCCAGTCCCTGCTCTCCAGGGACCAGTGAACCTGAGTGCTGCAGAATGTTGACCTTGAACTGACCGTACAGAAGTAAAAGAAAGCTTGGTTTCTTTGCTAGTCTACTCCATAAAAAATTTTAAAGAAATAAAATAAAGTACATTTTTTAGCCTGTAAATAGCTGGACTCGGCCAGGCGCGGTGGCTCACGCCTGTAATCCCAGCACTTTGGGAGGCTGAGGCGAATGGCTCACTTGAGGTCAGGAGTTCAAGACCAGCCTGGCCAACAAGGTGAAACCCCATCTCCACTAAAAATACAAAAATTAGCCGGGCGTGGTGGCGGGTGCCTGTAATCCCAGCTACTCAGGAGGCTGAGGCAGGAGAATGGCTTGAACCCGGGAGGTGGAAGTTGCAGTGGGCGGAGATCATACCACTGCATTCCAGCCTGGGTAACAAGGGTGAAACTCCGTCTCAAAAAAAAAAAAAGCTGGACCCTTTAATACGCCTGTATACCTCTGTCTACTCCTTCCCCCCTCCCCCAGTCACCTTCTGTGGCTCCCTATTGCCTTTTAAATTTGGTACAAACTTCTCTGCCTGTACATTTCAGGCCCTCCACAACGCCTCCTCTAGCTTCACCTCTTACTATGACTGCCTAGATATCCATTACAAAACCAGTCAGGCCGGGCTCCAAGAGCCTGAAGATCTTGCGCACCTGTCTATGCTTTGAATCAGACCCTGGCACAGAGCCTTTCACCTAGTTCAATGGTTCTCAATCCTGGCTGCACATTACAGTCATTATGCAACTTTTTAAAAATACTCATGCCCAGGTTTTAAGAGTCACTACTGAGCCCTAGTCTGCAGCTAAGCCATCTCACCTGAGCAGCCTCCATCTGTTCTCTGGCCATGGGCAAAGTGACACAAGCAGATTATTTGTAATAGTCCATCAATTGCAAAGTCTTGAACATTCGCTTGGCCGGAAATATAAAGAAACAAACTCTTGACCACAGTCACCACTAAGAGTCCCTTAAAGCGGAGCTGCATAACTTCATATCAAAAACAGTCATTAAAAATAGCTGGCCCAATGAAGTTTTAAAAGAGATACAATTCCTTGTATCAGGAAAATATGTGACTTCCAGCAGGCTGTTCTGAGGCTTCATTCCTGATGATGTGGCCTGAATCAAGGTAGGACAACTGATTTCCAGCCATCCTGCAACCCTAATTCTCTGCATGCCCGTGAGGAACTGTGATCCAGTTTGGACTTGAGAAATCGCAGCCTACACAGCATGCCATACACTTGAGTTCTACCTGACCCACCTCAAACATTCCTGCAGCAACCAAAAATGATAATAGCTGTTAATTTCTCCACTTAATTCATTTCATTCCTGTAATCCTACGAGCTGATGAGGTGACTGTTGTCCCAGTTTTCAGGTAAAGAAACTGGGCTCAAAGAGTGTGACTTGCTCACCATCATACAGCTGGTCAACAGCAGAATCAGCTTTGAACTCAATTCTAGCTTATTGTACACTGGTGTTGCTTTCTGTCGTCCCCCCTGCCAGTCAGAAAGCAGGTATCCTAGTGACTCACCCACAAATAGCATCTTAAGAGAAAGTTCTCTAGGCTGGGCACAGCCTGTGAGAGCTTATGCCTGTAATCCCCACACTTTGGGAGGCCAAGGCGGGCGGATCACGAGGCCAGCAGATTGAGACCAGTCTGGCCAACATGGTGAAACCCCATCTTTACTAAAAATACAAAAATTAGCTAGGTGTGGTGCCGCGTGCCTGTAATCCCAGCTACTCAGGAGGCTGAGGCAGGAGAATCGCTTGAACCTGGAAGGTGGAGGTTGCAGTGAGCCGAGATCACGCCACTGTACTCCAGCCTGGCGACAGAGCAAGACTCCATCTCAGAAAAAAGAAAAGAAAAGAAAAGAAAAGACTCTCTGGTGATACCCAATGTCAGTCTTCATAGAAATAAGACTGGACTAGCAGTTAGTGGAACTCCTGTTGCTGATCTCTTATCAATCAGGTAACCTCCAAATCCTCAAGTCTTCCCATACCTTTGGGTCTATTTCCCCGTCTGTAATTGGAGATCGAATCCAGTAACTGGAATATGGGAATTTAAATGGTTAAATGTAGTTAGTGGTTAAATATGTTGGCTCTGGACTGCCTTTATTCAAACCCCATTTCTGCCACTTTCTAGCTGTGTGGCATTGGGTGATTTACTTACGTCTCTGAGCGTCATTTTCCTCATCACTACAAGAAGACAACAGTAGTATTAATATCATAGAGTTATTAAGAAGATTAAGTGAGGAAGCATGTAAACTGTTTAGAGCAGTGCCTGGCACATTAAATGCCCCTATGTTAGCGATTGTTTTTATCTATCCAGTTCAAGGGTCCTGGTGATTTATTACGTAACACTTCTTTTTTAACTAAGATTTCTAGAGCAACAATAGAAGGAGGAACTCTTACATCTTTGGGATGCCACAAATTTTGTAGAAACACACTTTGGCTTTCTGTTTTCTCCCAGGATCTTGAAGGAAAGATAAATTCCTCCCTTATCAATTTTCCCTCCTGCCTTCTCCCTCTCTGATTTATATTACTATCTTGAAATTGTATTTAAATCTTTAATTATTTTTGCTTTTTTTTTTTTTAAATTGAGACAAGATCTGGCTGTATTGCCCAGACTGGAGTGCAATGGTGTGATCTTGGCTCACTGCATCCTCTGCCTCGCGTCTCAAGCCATCCTCCCACCTCAGCCTCCAGAGAAGCTAGCTGGGACTACAGGTGCACACCACCATGCCTGGCTAATTTATTTTTGCTTTTTTTTTTTTTTTTTTTTTGAGATGGAGTCTCGCTCTGTAGCCAGGCTGGACTGCAGTGGCACTATCTCGGCTCACTGCAAGCTCCGCCTCCTGGGTTCATGCCATTCTCCCGCCTCAGCCTCCCAAGTAGCTGGGACTACAGGCGCCTGCCACCACGCCCGGCTAATTTTTTGTATTTTTAGTAGAGACGGGGTCTCACCGTGTTAGCCAGGCAGGTGTCAATCTCCTGACCTCGTGATCTGCCCGCCTCGGCCTCCCAAAGTGCTGAGATTACAGGCGTGAGCCACCACACCTAGCCTACTTTTGCTTTTTAAAAAAATAATAATTATTATTAAGTCTTATTTTACTGGTTAGACTGTTAGTAACTCAGGAGAGGGATAGCATCTTTGTTTTAAATTTCCATCTATCTTTTTTTTTTTTAGACTGAGTTTTACTCTTGTCACCCAGGCTGCAGTGCAATGGCATGATTTTGGCTCACTGCAACCTCCACCTCCGAAGTTCAAGTGATTCTCCTGCCTCAGCCTCCTGAGTGGCTGGGATTACAGGCATGCGCCTCCACGCCCGGCTAATGTTGTATTTTTAGTAGAGATGGGGTTTCGCCCTGTTGGCCAGGCTGGTCTCGAACTCCTAACCTCAGGTGATCCACCCACCTCTGCCTACCAAAGTGCTGGGATTACAGGCATGAGCCACCATGCCTAGCCTATCTATCCTTCTTAAAGCCTAACGTTGACTCATACAAAAAGCAGGCATTCAGTACTTCTTGATCTTTTGCATAGATTGTTTGGACCCTGTTCATATTTAGATTTTCTACTTGCTAAGTTGTTGTATAAACCTGTGTCAGAGCTTTCTCTAGACACTGTGCATTTGTTAGTTATGTGGTGGCTGGTATTTCATTTCTACCCAAGACAACCTTATACACCTTTCTATCAGCCTATGGATGGCAGAGAAATGGAAAGGTTTCCATTTCTTTACAACGTTAAACATAGCCAGGCGTGGTCGCTCATACCTGTAATCCCAATGCTTTGAGAGGCTGAGGCTGTGGGTTCCCTTGAGGCCAAGAGTTTAGGACCAGCCCAGACAACATAGTAAGACCCCTGTCTCTACAAAAAATAAAATAAAATAGAAAATAAATAAAATAATTTAGCCACAGGACGTGGTGACATATCCCTGTGGTCCCAGCTACTCAGGAGGCTGAGGTGGGAGGATCACTTGAGCCTAGGAGATCGAGGCTGCAGTGAGCCATGACCACACAACTGCACTCCAGCCTGGGCAGCAGTGCAAGCCCCTGTCTAAAAAAAAGAAAAAGGAAGAAAAAGCAAGTTAAATATAAATTTACCTAATGACCCAGCAATTTATTCCGAGGCATCTACCTAAGAGAAATGAAAACATATGTCCACACAAAACTTGTAGTGAATGTTCATAGCAGTATTATTCACAGAAGTCAAACAGTGGAAATAATCTAAATGTCCATCAGCTGGTGAATAGATAGACAAGATGTAGTATGCCAATACAATGGAATATTTACTCAGCCATGAGAAGGAGATATTGATTCACGCTACAACATGGATGAACCTCAAAGACATTGTGCTAAGTGAAAGAAGCCAGACACAAAAGGCAATGTATTATATGATTCCATTTATATGCAACGTCCAGAAAAGGCAAATCCATAGACACAATTTAAAAATTAGTGGTCACCTGGAGTTGGAGCTGCAAACAAGGAAGAAAGAAACAAACACAAGGTTTCTCTGAGGCGATGTAAATGTTCTAAAATTAGTTTGTGGTAATGATCACACAACACAGTAAGTCACGAAACTGTACACATAAAACAAGTAAAATTCGGGGCATATAAATTATACCTCAAAAAATTGTTAGTGTTGAGCAAAAATCAAAATTCATAATGATCTTCATCACCCAACAAGAGTTATCTTTTTCAACTCATGTGTGCTATTTCATTCAACAACAGCTCGAAGAGGTGTTAAACACATATTAGAAAATGGACAGTGTGCTGGGCCTAGGGATAGAGAGATAACTATGACAGCTATATAAAGAATACTGGCTGAGCATGGTGGCTCATGCCTGTAATTCCAAAGCTTTGGAAGGCTGAGGTTCGAGGATCACTTGAAGCCAGGAGCTCAAGTCCAGCCTGGGCAACATAGTGAGACCCCATCTCTATAAAAAATTTGCTGGACATGGGGGCATGTGCTTGTAGTCCCAGCTACTAGGGAGGCTGAAACAAGAAGATCATTTGAGCCTAGGAAAGCTATGATTGTGCCACTGCACTCCAACCTGAGTGTCACAGCAAGACCCTGTCTCTAAAAAAAAAAAAAAGAAAAATAGGTTTTAAAAGAAAACAATTCCTATAGATCAATAAAGAAAACATAGACAACCCAACAGAAAAATGGGCAAAGAACTTGAACAGGCATTTCACAAAAGAAGATATCCAAATGACCTATTGGTCATATTAAAAGATGCACGACATCATTAATCATCAAGAAAGCATGATTTGCTTTTCTTTGATTTTGATTAAATCATAAGAAGGTATCAATATACACTCAGAAGTGATGAAGATAAAAACAGAACAGAAAATACCACATATTGGAGAGGCTGTGCTACACCCGGAGCTGTCATACACTGCTGGTGAGAGCCTGTTGGAAAATTGGCAGTATTTAGCACAGTGGAATTGAGTGTTCTCCATAACTCATCTAATCCCCTTCTAGGCATATAACCAACTAAGATACGTTGATATGTCCAACAGAAGATGTATAACAATGTTCATAGCAGCACTATTTATAACAGCCCCAAACTGGAAACAACCCAATATCCATCAAACTAGAATTGATAAATCATGACATATTTATACAATGGAAAACTCTACACTTAGAATAAACAGGCTTGGTACAATGGCTCACCTCTGTAATCCTAGAATACCGGGAGGCTGAGGTGGGGGGATCTCTTGACACCAGGAGCTTGAGACCAGCCTGGTCAACACAGTGAGGCCTCATCTTTACTAAAAATAAAATAAAATAAAATAATTTAGCCAGGCATGATGGCATGTACCTGTAGTCCCAGCTACTCAAGAGGCTGAGGTGGGAGGATCGCTTGAGCCTAGGAGGTCGAGGCTACAGTGAGCTGAGATCACACCACTGTACTCCTGCCTGGGTGACACAGTAAGACCCTATCTCAAAAAAAAAAAAAAAAAAGAGAGAGAATAAACAAACTATTGCTACATATAAGTGAATCCCATAGATGTAATGTGGAGCAAAGAGCAAAAGCAGCCAAACACTAAAGAGCAGAGACATCATGATTCTGAGAGAGGAGGAAGGAAGAAACCAGTCAGGCAGGCAGTTAGGGTGGGTCCTTGGTAAAATTATTTCAAACAAAACAACAGCCTGAAAAATCAAACTGCAGGCACAGATTAGGGAACTTGCACAGGGTGGCTTGCCTAAGACATGCCAACAGCCACATAGATAAGAAAGGCTACACAGGGGACTTGCCCAGACATGCCCACAATGGAAAATTCCACCCCCTGACACATGCGCAGTAAGAGGAACAAAGCAATGTGGAGTAATTCAAGCTAAGGAGCCCCATGTGCACTAGGAGGATGAGGTGGAGCTACCAGAAATTCACACCTTATACAAATGAGAAGCCCAGCCCTCACTGGTTTCTTATAAAAGCCTCTGTATTCAACTGTGAAACGGCAACCCTCTTTCAGGCCCCCTCTCTGCAATGGAGAGCTTTCTCCTTTCACTTATTAAACTTTTGCTCCAACCTCACCCTTGGTGTCTATGCTCCTTAATTTTCTTGGTCATGAGACAAAGAACTTCAGGTGATACCTTGGGCAACACCAAGGTACACCAATGCTACATTGGGTGCATTGGCGAGACTGTAACAATTCCATTTATATGACATTCCTAGAAGTCAGGAGAGGAGTTATTTTGGGGAAAGGTAGTGACGGCACAGGGGTGTCTAGGTTGCTGATAATAATCTATTCCTTGATCCTCTTGCTAGTTACATGAGCTGTTCTCCAGTCTGTATACTAATTTGTGCGCTTCTCTGTGTGGATGCTATTTTTCAATATGGTTTGTTAAAAAATAATAGTATTGGGGGGAGGGGGGAGGGATAGCATTAGGAGATATACCTAATGCTAAATGACGAGTTAATGGGTGCAGCACACCAGCATGGCACATGTATACATATGTAACTAACCTGCACATTGTGCACATGTACCCTAAAACTTGAAGTATAATAATAATAATAATAGTAATAGTATTCTGGCTGGGTGCGGAGGCTCACGCTTGTAATCTCAGTACTTTGGGAGGTCAAGGTGGGTGGATCACCTGAGGTCAGGAGTTTGAGACCAGCCTGGCTAATATATAGTGAAACCCCGTCTCTACTAAAAAAATACAAAAATTAGCTGGGGATGGTGGCGGGCACCTGTAATCCCAGCTACTTGGGAAGCTGAGGCAGGAGAATCACTTGAACCTGGGAGGTGGAGGTTACAGTGAGCTGAGATCATGCCACTGCACTCCAGCCTGGGTGACAGAGCAAGACTTCATCTCTCTCTCAAAAAAAAAATAATAATCACAATGGTATTCTAATCTCAAAGAATTTGTAGTCTAAATTCTACAGAGATGCTTTCCAAACTTTTTTGACTCTACACCCCTATCAGTAAAACTCCCGGAGATATCTACTTCTCTTATCTATGAATTAAATAGATGAACCACTAAACTAATAAGCATATTATCATAGAATTAAAAATTTAAAAAGGTTATATTGAAGTAGATGTAATATTCAAATAGCTGTTCTAATATTGTCTTCCTGCACCATAATGGAAGTTTTATGTACTTCTCAGTGATCTTGAGAATCGGTTTCAAGAAGATACTGGGAAGGGAAAGAAAGTTAATATACTGAAAATAAGCATTTTGGAATCATGACTTCAGAGAAATAAATGGGTCCAGTTCTCCCCTTGCAGTCCGGAAGAAACCTGGCGTTGGGCCTCCATGGAAGAGGAAGTGTGAAGAGTTCTATCCATCCCTTCCTTGATTTTCTCATCCAGAATCTCAGCCAGAGTTCCAGCCAAAGATTCTGAAACTTAAACATGTATAAGGATCACTGGAGAAACATGTTAGAAAGGATGCCTATTTTTAGGCCACCTTCCCAGAGATTAGTGGGTCTGGGATGGGACCCGGGAATCTGTGTTTTCAACAAAATCCCCAGAGTACTGTGGGGTTTTCAGACTGTATTTCAAAGGTTGTTGGGCCGAGTGCAGTGGCTCACACCTGTAATCCCAGCACTTTGGGAGGCCAAGGCCGGCAGATCACTTGAGCCCTGTAGTTTGAGCCCAGCCTAGGAAACATGGTGAACCTCATCTCTACAAAAATACAAAAATTAGGAGCTGCAATTGTAGCAGAGCACTCCAGCCTGGATGACAGAGCAAGATCCTATCTCAAAGGACAAGGGGGGGTTTTATTTTCAGGTATTATTCGTACTCTCAGAGTGTATTTGTTTATTTATTTATTGAGATGGAGTCTCGCCCTGTTGCCCAGGATGGAGTGCAGTGGCGCCATCTCGGCTCACTGCAACCTCCGCCTCCCAGGTTCAAGCAATTCTCCTGCCTCAGCCTCCCGAGTAGCTGGGACTACAGGCGCCCGCCACCATGCCCAGCTACTTTTTGGATTTTTAGTAGAGATGGAGATTCACCATGTTGCCCAGGATGGTCTCGATCTCTTGACCTCTTGATCCACCCACCTCGCCTCCCAAAGTGCTGGGATTACAGGTGTGAGCCGCCGCGCCTGGCCTAGAGTGTCTTCATTTATAAGAAGGGTTTACGTTGGCATCTTGTTTGGCCAGGCCCACCAATGTTTAAAAAGGGGGGAAGGAGGCTGGGTGCAGTGGCTCAAAGCAGTAATCCCAGCACTTTGGGAGGCTGGAGGCAGGTGGATCACTTGAGGCCAGGAGATCAAGCCCAGCCTGGCCAACATGGCAAAACCCCTTCTCTGCTAAAAAGTACAAAAAGTAGCTGGCTGTGTGCCACACGCCTGTAATTCTAGCTACTTGGGTGGCTGAGATACGAGAATCGCTTGAACCTGGGAAGCAGAGCTTGCAATGAGCTGAGATCGCACCACTACACTCCAGCCTGGGTGACAGAGACTCTGTCTCAAACAAAAAAAAAAAAAGGTAAAGAAAAAAAAGAGAAGGGAAGAGGAAGCAAAGCTAGAGGCAGACAGAAAACAGTAATAGATCAAAGAGGAAAGAAACAATTTGGGGAACAGGAGACAGAGAATATAGAATAAGAAAAGAAGAGTAGGATAGAAAAGAGAAGGGAAAGGGGCGAGAGAGGGGAAGGAGGTGGGAGCGTGGAGAAGAAAGAGAAAACAAAGCCCAGCCTTCTCCCAGGTCTTCCAAGATCTCCACCCACTCCCTCACAAACACAGCTTCCCTGGTGTAAGCTAAAGGTTTCATTTGCAGAAGCAGCATGAAGCAAGAGAAAAGAAGAAGGGAAGAAATAAGTTGTGTGACCAGAAATAACACAAACTGAAGTCTGCTTTTTCACTGCTATTGCTTGGTGGGTGTGGAAAGGAGTTCCAGCCCCATCCTCACTGTTCCCTAACAGCAGCACAGAAATATGGAAATGAGATTGCCCTTTGGGAGTAAATAACAGTAAAATATCCACGGAGGAGCGAGGCTGAGCAGAGATATGCAAAGCCACAGAAAGAGACAGAAAGGCAGAAAGTCTCCAGGGCCAGGACCCAACTCCGATGTGATGTCGCTATTAACATATCTGAAGCTTGGAAAAATCCACCCAAAGAAGGGTGGGCTGTCTAAGAAAAGCTTAGAAAAGAAGTTTACGAAAATTGCTGTCCCTCCCTGGCTCAGTGTTATCCCTCCTTGTGGCTCCTTTGCCCAGGGCCACACGGTCCCTTCATTCTTGAAACACACACACACACACACACACACACACACACACATGCAGGCACGCACGCAGAACTACCCTTGATTACACACCCAGTCTGCTTCTCTTGCCCCGAAGACAAGCCAGATCCTAATTTCCCCAGCGTTGTGGCAGAAACTGAGGTTTTCATTTGTAGGTGGTGTCCCTCTATTGTGTAGAAATGGTTCTCCAGTGCGCATTAAAAGCAGCTTAGGTTGCCGGGCACGGTGGCTCACACCTGTAATCCCAGCACTTTGGGAGGCCGAGGCGGGCAGATCACGAGGTCAGGAGATCGAGACCATCCTGGCTAACACAGTGAAACCCTGTCTCTACTAAAAATACAAAAAAATTAGCCAGGTGTGGTGGCGGGCACCTGTAGTCCCAGCTACTTAGGAGGCTGAGGCAGGAGAATGGCGTGAACCTGGGAGGCGGAGGTTGCAGTGAGCCGAGATCGCGCCACTGCACTCCAGCTTGGGTGACAGAGCAATACTCCATCAAAAAAAAAAGTAGCTTAGGCTGACATAAATCCCTGGGGAATCTTGAGCTTCAGAAACAAACAAAACGCACAGGAATGACCTGGCCACGGGTTCTTGGCTTTTTTGTGGACAAAGGGGCTGGCCAAGGAAGACTGTCAGGAATAGCACATTTCTTTCTCAGAACAAATCCCCGGCACGAGTCTTCATTCTTTTGAAGATAAAAATAAATTCGGAATTAATCACAACAGAAAAGGAACAGTGTCTTCAATGACTATAATTAGTTCTCCATTTATTAATGAAGACTCCAATGATTAGGCTCATCCGAGTCCCAACTGTTTTGCTTGGTAATTACACACCTAAGAAAAGGGGTTTCACCTCTGTAAACCTCAATTTCCTCATCTGCAGGACAGGGATGGGGGGACCTATTTCATTAGGCCGTGGAAAAGATTGCAGAAAGCCGTCTGGGGGATGTGGTTGGCCGAGAGTCCAGCTGTGGGGAATGTACAGCATGCCTTCTGCAGAGAACTGGCTTCAGACCAGAAGAAACTTGACTTGATGTATTCAGAAGCCAGCATGTTCTGTGGAAACTTCCAGGCCTGGTATCACAGGGAGTAGGGAGGTAGAGGGAATGCTTATTTACACTGTAGACTCATAAAAATTCCTTCCAGAGCCTCTGGGTACAACCTGGATGAGGTAATAGAACGCACATTTACATACCTGTGGACTTCCCCAGCAGGATCTCCCTGTCAGACAAAGGAGGATTTCCCAAGCCCTTCCCACGGTCACCTGAAGGTCAGAGGCTGAGAAGCAGGAACGAGTTCATGGGGACCTGTGGGGCAGCCTGGACACTGGGCAGAAAGGGCTTCATGAGAACCATCTTGGAAATGAAAGGGCACATGGCTGGGGCCTCTCTGGGCAGTCAGAGTTAAAATAATAACACAGGGAAGCCTGGCATTCCCAGAGGCCAATATCCAGATGCTTCAACAATCTGGAATTCGGCCGGGCGCAGTGGCTCACGCCTGTCATCCCAGGACTTTGGGAGGCTGAGGCGGGTGGATCACCTGAGGTCGGGAATTCAAGACCAGCCTGGCCGACATGGTGAAATCCCGTTTCTACTAAAAATACAAAAATTAGCCAGACGTGATGGCATGTGCTTATAATCCCAGCTACTCAGGAGGCTGAGGCAGGAGAATCACTGAATCCAGGAGGCAGAGGTTGCAGTGAGCCAAGATCACACCATTCCATTCTAGACTGGGCGACAGAGGGAGACTCCGTCTAAGAAAAAAAAAAAAATCCAGAATTCAGTGACGACTGAGCAAAAGGAATTTTGAATAAACAAGGTGAAAAGTGTGTATCATGTTGTTCATTGTTGAAGGGAGCAGTAGGGAAATGGGGTTCATGAGACTATCTTCTCTACTTGTTTATAGGTTTGAAATTTTTCATAATAAAAAAAAGGAAGGCCAAGCGTGGCGGCTCATGCCTATAATCCTAGCACTTTGGGAGGCTGAGGCAGGAGGATTGCTTGAGTTCAGCAGTTCAAGACCAGCTTAGGCAACCTAGTGAGACCGCATCTCTCTACAAAAAATTAAAAATTACTCGGGCATGATAGTGTGTGTCTATAGTGCCAGCTACTCGGGAGGCTCAGGCAGGAGGACCGCTTGAGCTCAGGGGTTTGAGGTTGTAGTGAGCCGAGATTTTGCCACTGCACTCCAGCCTGGGAAATAGAAAAAAAAAGGAAATATATGCATCTTAGCTTACTCCATATACCTACTCCTCTGAAAGACCATCAGAATCTCAGTTAGAGCCTATCCACTCACAGTTTTCAAACAATTCTAACAACAGATCTTTTTAATCTAGCATTTTTCAGATAATAATGTTACCGGAAAGGGGTCTCAATCCAGACCCCAAGAGAAGGTTCTTGGACCTCAAGCAAGAAAGAGTTCATGATTAGCCCATAGAGTAAAGTGAAAGTAAGTTTATTAAAAAAGAAATAAAGAATGGCTACTCCATAGGCAGAGCAGCGGCTTGGGCTGCTCGACTAAGGATACTTATAGTATTACTCGATTACATGCTAAACAAAGGGTGGATTATTCATGAGTTTTCTGGGAAAGGGGTGGGCAATTGCCAGAACTGAGGGTTCTTCCCCTTTTTAAACCATATAGAGTAACTTCCTGATGTTGCCATGGCATTTGTAAACCGTCATGGCGCTGGTGGGAGTGTCCCGTAGCATGCTAATGCATTATAATTTGTGTATAATGAGCAGGAAGGACCACTAGAGGTCACTTTCATCGCCACCTTGGTTTTGGTGGGTTTCGGCCAGCTCCTTTACCACAGCCTATTTTATCAGCAAGGTCTTTATGACCTGTATCTTGTGGCGACCTCCCATCTCATCCTGTGACTTAGAGTGCCTAAAGTCCTTGGCTGGGTGCGGTGGCTCATGCCTGTAATCCCAGCACTTTGGGAGGCCGAGGCGGGCGGATCACAAGGTCAGGAGATCGAGACCATCCTGGCTAACACAGTGAAACCCTGTCTCTACTAAAAATACAAAAAATTAGCCGGGCATGGTGGTGGGCACCTGTAGTCCCAGCTACTCAGGAGGCTGAGGCAGGAGAATGGCGTGAACCCGGGAGGCGGAGGTTGCGGTGAGCTGAGATCTTGCCATTGCACTCCAGCCTGGGCAACAGAGCAAGACTCCATCTCAAAAAAAAAAAAAAAAAAAGGAAAGCCTAACATCCTTGGAATGCAGCCCAATAGGTCTTAGCCTTATTTTACCCAGCCCCTATTCAAGATGGAGTTGCTCTGGTTCAAACGCCTCTGACAATAATGTATGGAAGAAGATATCGACAGCAGGAAGGAGCACCAGCTGACAACAGATTGACACTGGCAATGAGGGGTGGGGATAGGGATCAGAGAGAATCATTTTAAAAGACTCAAGAAAACAAAAGGTGTCTAAACCAGAACTATTTAGCAACCATCAAGAGCCCTTTAAGATGTTGGTAATCAATATTCATTAAAAGACGGAGCGCTACTCTTCAAATATAAACATTATGCAAATATAAAGTACTATAAGAATGACAATGACCCTCAATCATTCCATTTTAACAGTCAAGGCAGTGTGTAATACTTTCTTGAATAATCTTCACCCATAGTGGTTAAAGGATTTCAAGTTATTTCAAGTGTTTGTAAGTGTCCAAAGACACAAGCACAACAAATTTAGCTTAAAGATCTTAATTGGTTTTTATTTGTGATTCTAGAATTGGGCACCACTTCCTTCTGTAAAACAGAATGAGTGTTCCCACGAGCTGAGCAGAGGAGGTTGGTTTTATATTCAGAAAAGAGCTGGGGAAAGCAGAAACAAAATGTGGACTGCTATTTCAAAGTTAAAAGACCGGGCACGGTGGCTCACTACCTGTAATCCCAGCACTTAGGGAGGCCGAGGAAGGTGGATCACTTGAGGCCAGGAGTTCCAGACCAGCCTGGCCAACATAGCGAAACCCCATCTCTATTAAAAAATACAAAAATTAGCTGGGCGTGGTGGCACATGCCTATAATCCCAACTACTCAGGAAGCTGAGGCAGGAGAATCACTTGAAGCTGGGAGGTGGAGGTTGCGGTGAGCTGAGATCTTGCCAGTGCACTCACTCTAGCCTGGGTGGCAGAGGGAGACTCCATCTAAAAAAAAAAAAAAAAAAAAAAAAAAGTTAAAGGTTAGGCCAGGTGCAGTGGCTCACACCTGTAACTCCTAGCACTTTGGAAGGCCGAGGCTGGAGGATCACTTGAAGGCCGGAGCTCCAGACCAGCCTGGGCAACACAGTGAGACCGCGTCTCTACAACTTTTTTTTTTGAAATTAGCTGGGTGTGCTGGTTCACGCCTGTGGTCCCAGCTGCTCAGGAGACTAAGGCAGGAGGATCGCTTGAGCCCAGGAGTGTGAGGTTGCAGTGAGCCCTGATGGTGCCACTGCATTCCAACCTGCACAACAGAGTGAGGCCCTGCCTCCAAAAAAATAAATAAAGATTAAAGCCAAGGGCTCTTGTTTATCATGCCAGCTAAAACTGGCCTGTTTAGGGGATTATCTCTCTCTCTCCCGGTTTCTCAAAAGGTCAGATAAACAACTTAGCTTCTGTTTGGTAGCGTGGAACTTTAGCATGAGTGACTCCATTTTGGTTTGGTCTGTTGGGCCTGGTACAGGAGCTAGTGCAAACCAATGGCTTCCTATAAATTTGTGCATATTAGGTGCTTCCTACTGGCCTCCTCACTGCAGCCACCCTAGAAATCTCAGCATATATTCTTTAAGGCACTCACTAAAAGAATAACCCTGGCCAGGCATGGTGGCTCATGTCTGTAATCCCAGCACTTTGAGAGGCTGAGGCGGGCAGATCACCTGAGGTCGAGAGTTTGAGACCACCCTGACCAACATGGAGAAACCCCATCTCTACTAAAAATACAAAATTAGCCAGGCATGGTGGCACACGCCTGTGATCCCAGCTACTTGGGAGAGGCTGAGGCAGGAGAATCACTTGAACCTGGGAGGTGGAGGTTGTGGTGAGCAAAGATCGCGCCATTGCACTCCAG
The DNA here is from genome assembly GCF_000001405.40 of Homo sapiens. Taxonomy (NCBI): domain Eukaryota; kingdom Metazoa; phylum Chordata; class Mammalia; order Primates; family Hominidae; genus Homo; species Homo sapiens. The sequence goes on from NC_000017.11 coordinate 10,214,290, forward strand.
CCTGGGCAACAAGAGTGAAACTTCGTCTCAAAAAAAAAAATAATAATAACCCTGACTTGTGAGCAACCATTTGCCCTGGGCAGAACTTCAGGAATTAGGGGTAAACTGGGGATGGAAATAATTCTGAAGAAAAGCTGCTACTGGAGAAATTATTGCTAGTTATTGCTGATCATGTATTACAAACATAAGTGAAAGGAACAGTTTTGATTCTTGGACAAATTCATTTGTGTAGAACAACTCATTTTCTAACTAAAATGAAATGAGATGGCTGTTAATATTGGTCACCTGGGGGAAGAGGCTGGGCGTGGAGGGGGCGGGTGAGAGGAAAATATCCTGGCATTGTTTCATTAGCTACAATGAGCTCATATTACTTTTGCAATCTAAAAAAGATTAAAAGGGAAATTAAGTATTCATAATAAGTAAGGAAATAATGAACATAGATTTTTGTACCTGTGGCCCTTCACCAGGTTAGTTAGGAGATCAAGATACTTAAGCCTATGGTGAGTTCCAACGTCCACCTCCGCTCTCTTTATGGGATCTGAACCTACTGTCATCCTAGTATTCTTGTGCGGTGACTTGTAACCTTAAACTCTGACTCTTGGCTCACGTAAAAATCTTACAAAAGCGATTGTCCTACAGGAACAACTGTCTGCTAGTGAGTTGGTATTAGATTAAATCATGCAAAAATATCAATGCCAGATCATTTTTGGTCTACATGCATAGTTTAACTTAACAGTTTCTTTCTTTTTTTTTTTTTTTTTGAGACGGGGTCTTGCTCTTTCACCAAGGCTGGAGTGAAATGGTGTGATCTCGGCTCACTGCAACTTCCAGCCTCCGGGTTCCAGTGATTCTCCCGCCTCAGCCTCCCAAGTAGCTGGGATTACAGGTGCCCACCACCATGCCTGGCTATTTTTTGTATTTTTAGTAGAGATGGGGTTTTGCCATGTTGGCAAGGCTGGTCTCGAACTCCTGACCTCAGGTGATCCACCTGCCTTGGCCTCCCAATGTGCTAGGATTACAGGCGTGAGCCACCATGCCCGGCCTAACTTAATAGTTTCAATGCAACATCCCCATCCACAGTGAACCCCAATGGATAAAGTGAGGCCTATGGAAGTCTCCAATTCACCCAGTCCCTGCCACATTCCTTACTACCACCCACGCCACAAAGCATTGCCTTATGTTATGCTGGATGAGTGACATGCACCGCCAGCTGCTCTCCAGAATTACTGAAAGCCTGTGAAAAAGGTAGATACCTGGGACCAACTCAGGAGATTTTGAAATAAGGAGATCTGGGTGTCTGTATTCTTGTTTCCCAGGTGATTTTTATGCACGGGTCCGGCCCAGAACCTTAGCATAGTGCGATGCTTCCCACGCTTTACTGCATGTTAGCATCACCTGGCAATTTCAGAATGGCTGGGAGTGACAGGCATCCATATTTTTATTTTTATTATTTTTATTTTTATTTTTATTTTTTTGAGACAGAGTCTCGCTCTGTCATCCAGGCTGAAGTGCAGTTACACGATCTCAGCTCACTGCAGCCTTAACCTCCCTGGTTCAATCATTCCTCATGGCTCAACTTCCCAGGTAGCTGAGACCACAGGCACCCACCATCACGCCAGGCTAATTTTGGTGTTTTTAGTAGAGATGGGTTTTTGCCATATTGGCCAGGCTGGTCTGGAACTCCTGACTTCAAGTGATCTGCCCGCCTCAGCCTCCCAAAGTGCTGGGAGTACAGGTCTGAGCCACCGCACCCGGCCGCATCCACATTTTTAAAAGATCCCCCAATTATGTCAATGTGCGGCCAAGTTTGGGAACCACTGTCACAGTGAATGACAGTTTGTTGACCTTCATTTCCAGAGGCAGGGTCACCTGTAGCCCAGACCTGAGCACGTCATCAGGGAGTAGGACCAGCACAGGAGGGCAAAGATCTGCCCACATGGATGACTCTGGTTAGGTCCTGGGACAAGCTGACCCTGTTCTCTAGGGCTGGACTTGCTGGCTTGGCCCACCTGGCTGCCTGCCTCCAGGGATGGAACACCTGCTGGGCCTCACTGCCCCAGCCCCCACGGTTTCCTGGGCAGCCCCGCCTTCCGCTGCCCACTCCGTGAGGGATATGCGCTTGGGAGCTGCTTCCCCTGCCTGGGAGTGCAGCCCAGGACCCACCAGGGAGCATGTTGCCATGACGATGGTGGCAGCCTGCTCCCCAGCCCCCTTCTGCCACCGTAAAAGCCCCGTGGAAAATCAGAACTCACAGGGCTCTTCTGACTGCCTGGACTTCTCCACAGGAAAGGGTTATGGGAGCTTTCTCCCCTCTGTGCCATTTGCAAAGCTGGAGGAGGGAACAACAGCCTCAAAACAAAAATGCAATTTTCCCACTTTATTGAGATACGTAAAGAAATCAATTTTCTTTTCTTTTTTCTGTTTGTTTTTGAGATGGAGTCTCACCCTATCACTCAGGCTGGAGTGCAGTGATGCAATCTCGGCTCACTGCAACCTCCGCAGCCTGTCTCCTCCCCCTCCCCCGGGTTCAAGCAATTCTCCTGCCTCAGCTTCCCGAGTAGCTGGGATTACAGGAGTGTGCCACCATGCCCGGCTAATTTTTTGTGTTTTTAGTAGAGACAGGGTTTCGCCATGTTGGCCAGGCTGATCTCAAACTCCTGACCTCAGGCGATCCACCCGCCTTGGCCTCCCAAAGTGCTGGGATTACAGGCGTGAGCCACTGCCTCTCACTCCCTATTTTCTTATCACAAGGATTATCCACTGCACTTGTTGTCATGATGTTTGTCAAGAGAAAAACGGGGAATGTATGAAGGAGAAAGAGCGGTTTCTCTTCAGGTGGAGAAGAGGCAGGAACAGGGATAAAGCAGAGGAAGCACAGCAGAGGCATCAAAGGGTGATTTCTACAAAAGTGCCATTGAGTAAAGAGGATGAGATTGAGGCTGCCTGGAGCAGGGCTGGGTAGACTAATAAAGAAATCAAGGAGGACCCCTGGTAGAGAATTTGGCCAGGAAATAGGTCTGGAAAAGAGAAGACTGATATAGAGTACTCTAGTTGTCTATTGCAGATTATTTCAAAATATGGTGGCTTAAAACAACAATAAATAGTGCTTTTTTAAAAAAATCGATGCTATTCTTGTTTATATTGATTTTAACTAATTAATTACATTTTAGAGGTAGGGTCTCACTATGTTGCCCAGGCTGGTCTGGAACTCCTGGACTCAAGTGATCTTCCTACATCAGCCTCCCCAATAGCTGGGACTATAAGCACACACCACTATGCCTGGCTACATTTCTTTTTATTTTTTATTTTTTTGAAACAGAGTCTCCCTCTGTCACCCGGCTGGAGTGCAGTGGCGTGATCTCGGCTCACTGCAACCTCTGCCTCCAGGGTTCAAGCGATTTCCCTGCCTCAGCCTCCCAAGTAGCTGGGATTATAGGCGCCCGCCACCACACCCAGCTAATTTTTGTACTTTTAGTAGAGACGGGGTTTCACCATGTTGGCCAGGATGGTCTCAATCTCCTGACCTTGTGATCCGCCCGCCTCAGCCTCTCAAAGTGCTGGGATTACAAGCGTGAGCCACCGCACCTGGCCTGGCTACATTTCTTATCTTATACATTCTGTGGGTCTGTTGAGTCAACAGCAGCTGAGCTTGGTACTCTTGGCTTGAGGTCTCTTGTGAGGTTCCAGTCAACAGGTCAGTCAGGGCTGAAATCATCTGAAGACTTGACTGGGGCTGTAGGAGCTGTTTCCAAGATGGCACACACACAGCTGGTGAGCTAGTCATGACTGTTGGCAGGTGGTTTCAGTTCCTTCACATGTGTAGCACTCCATAGAGCTGCTTGAGTGTCCTTATGACATGGCAGCTGGCTTCCCTCAGACAGAGTGATCCCAGAGCCAGTAAGACAGAGCTGCAATATCTTTTATGACTCACTGTCAGAAGTTACACATCTTATTTCTTTTTTTTGAGACAAAGTTTTGCTCTTGTTGCCCAGGCTGGAGTGCAATGGCGTGATCTCAGCTCACTGCAACCTCCGCCTCCCGGGTTCAAGTGATTCTCCTGCCTCAGCCTCCCAAAGTGCTGGGATTACAGGTGTGAGCCACTACGCCTGACCTTCACATTTTATTGCTACAACATCTTATTGGATCCACATGTCAGCCCTATACAGGGCTGGGAGGGAATACATAAGGGTATGAATACCAGAAAGTGAGTATCATGAGGGCCATTTTGGAGGCTGGCTACTTAAAGGAGAAAATTCTTTCTCAGTCACTGCCAAGTATAATTATGGAGGTTATTCCCTGTACAAGGAAACCCAGCAGATGGGGCAAGAAGGGGACTTCAATCCAGGCTGAACTTGATGTCTGGCCATGCCCCCAGCCAAAGCAAGTGGGTATACCCCCCACTTTTTTTTTTTTTTTTTTTTTGAGACACAGTCTCACTCTGTCACCAGGCTGGAGTGCAATGGCACGATCTCTGCTCACTGCAACCTCCGCCTCCTGGGTTCAAGCAATTCTCCTGCCTCAGCCTCCCAAGTAGCTGGGAATACAGGTGTGCACCACCACTCCCGAGTAATTTTTGTATTTTTAGTAGAAGTGGGGTATCACCATGTTGGCCAGGCTGGTCTCGATCTCTTGACCTTGTGATCAGCCTGCCTCAGCCTCCCAAAGTGCTGGGATTACAGGTGTAAGCCACCTTTTAATAATGTGCCTCTCTAGAAGAGGTACATGCCCTGTTCTTACAAAGATGCAGTTTGTGCCTCAGCCCCACTTTTTCAGGATATTTTCAAATGCATGTAACAGAAAACCTAACTTTAAAAAAAGAAAATATAATAATGTATTGAGTCATATAATTGAGGGGTGCAGGGGGATAGTGCTTCAGGTATGGCTGAACCTAGAGTCTCAAACAATGTTGTGACCTCTCTCTTTATCTCACCTCTGGTTTCCTCTGATATGCTCTAACTCCATGTCAACTTTACTCTCCTAAAGCTCTCTTATTACCATGGCACCTAGCTGCTCTAGTCCTTCTGACTCTCAGGTTCAGCCCAGATATGAAGATTCTTCCTTGAGGCATTTGGAATAAAAAGTTCTCAGCCCCATTCTCTTTGACTCCTCCCTTGCACATTCACTGTGGCCAAGGACATGAAATATGTTGATTGGCTTAGTCTATGATGTACAGCCACCCCTAGAAAATAGGGCTGGCTCAATTCTAACCCAACAATTTTGAAGATTTCTTCTAAAGGAATGAGTTGGATACTAGTAACCAATAAGGAAAGAAAGGAAGAAAGAAAGAAAGAGAAAGAAAGAAAGAAGGAAGGAAGGGAAAGAAAGAGAGAGAGAAAGAGAAAGAAGGAAGGAAGAAAGAAAGAAAGAGAAAGAAGGAAGGAAGGAAGGAGAAAGAAAAGAAAGAAAGAAAGAAAGAAAGAAAGAAAGAAAGAAAGAAAGAAAGAAAGAAAGAAAGAAAGAAAGAAGGAAAGAAAAGAAAGAGCAATGATCCTGGAAGGGCAAACATCACAGTGGTTCACCATGGCCCAGAGTCAGTCAGCATTCAACCGACTCTGGAGGGAGAAGATTCCTCCTTGCTATGCTTTGACTGTCCCCTCCAAAACACATGTTGACATTTAATTGCCAGTGTAATGGTATTGGGAGGTTGGACCTTTAATGATTAGGGCAGAGCCCTCATGAATGAATTAATCCTATCATGCCAGTGGATTAGTTATGGGTTTGTTATTTCGTGAGTGGGTTCCTAGGATAAATAAAAGGATGAAGTTTGACTTCCATTTCTCTGTCTGTCTTGCTCATGCTTGCATGCCCTTCTGCCATGTTATGACACAGCATGAAGGCACTCGCCAGGTGCCAGTGCCATGCTCTTGGACTTGCCAGCCTCCAGAACCATAAGCCAAATAAACTTCTATTGTTTATAAATTGTAGAGTCTGTGGCATTTTCTTATAGCAGCAGGAAACAAACTAAGACAGTGCTAGAATCTTGGGGTGGATGCTGGCCATCAGAAGATGGACCAGAGCAGTGCCTAGGTCCAGAGGGAAAGAAGAATACCTGTGACTGTTGCCTTAGGTGTAATCAGAGGGCTTGGCTGTCCCTAGGCTTGGTAGGTGAAGCCCCATATCATAGACTTGTGATCCAAGCTATCAACCTTTTAGAATTAAAAAGTAGAATTTTGTTTTCAAATTACTTTTCTCAACAGTAGAAGTAATGTATAAATTAAAGGAGAGGATCTAATCATTTATCATTCATTCATTATTATTATTTTTTTTTTTAAAGAGGAAGAGTCTCACCCTGTCATCCAGGCTGGAGTACAGTGGTACAATCATAGCTCACTGCAACCTCAAACTCCTGGCTCAAGTGATTCTCCTGCCTTAGTTTCCCAAGAAGCTAGGACTAAGGCATGCGCCACTACACCTGGCTAATTATTTTATTTTATTCTTTTAGATACAGGGTCTATGTTGCCCAGGCTGGTCTTGAACTCCTGGGCTCAAGTGATCCTCCTGCCTCAGCCTCCCAAAGTGCTGGGATTATAGGTGTGGGCCACCAGAACTGGGCATCATTTATCAGTCTTCAAATATGTCTGGAGCACTTCCCACATGCCATAATGTCTCGTGATGAAACAATGTTTTTTTAAAAAATTGGGAAATGACCAGGGCATGGTGGCTCATGCCTGTAATCTAGCACTTTAGGAGGCTGAGGCAGGCGGATCACCTGAGGTTGGGAGTTTGAGAACAGCCTGGCCAACATGGCGAAATCCCATCTCTGCTAAAAATTCAAAAATTAGCCGGGCATGGTGGCAGGTGCCTGTAATCCCAGATACTCAGGAGGCTGAGGCAGGAGAATTGCTTGAACCCAGGAGACAGAGGTTGCAGTGAGCCAAGATCACGACACTGCACTCTAGCCTGGGTGACAGAGCGAGACTCCATCTCAATAAATAAATAATTAAAATGGGGAAGTGTAAGTGCAAATCCAGGACTGGCTTCTTTTAGATTTAACTCTCAGTAACCATTGCTCATCGATATCTACTCCCAGGTTTAAGCAGTACTACTCTGACTCTTTTCGGAGTTGAAGATCCCCCTGGTTGTGCCTGTTTTGGCAGTTCCAATTCTTGGGGTGAAAGCTGCTTTGCCCATTCCTCTGCTTGAGTCTGGGAAAGCATTTTACAATCAGCGTATCTTTCTCCAGTGGAGGGGCAAGGGGCCTTTTCAATTCTACTACCTCACCATTCTTCAGCATTAAAAATCTTTGCACCGCCAGGCACAGTGGCTCACTCCTGTAATCCCTGCACTTTGGGAGGCTGGGGCGGGTGGATCACCTGAGGTTGGGAGTTCAAGACTAGCGTGACCAACATGGAGAAACCCCATCTCTACTAAAAATACAAAATTAGCCGGGCATGGTGGTGCATGCCTGTAATCCCAGCTACTCGGGAGGCTGAGGCAGGAGAATTGCTTGAACCTGGGAGGTGGAGGTTGCCGTGAGCCAAGACCGTGCCATTGCACTCCAGCCTGGGTAACAAGAGTGAAACTCTGTCTCAAAAACAAACAAAAAAACTAATTAAAAATCTTTGCATCTCCCTTGCACAGTAATTCCTGCTTTGCCTATGTATTTTTGTGTCCTGAGGCAGAAAAGAGAGAGGAAAACATTGGGCACCCACAATTCCAGTTCAGGCTGGGAAGAGAAGACTTCTATTAGCTAGAGTCTGCCACCAGACCCAGCTCCCTGCTAGCACACTCAATGGCTCCCTCCTTCCCCTTTAAGGGTCCTTATCTGTATGGTATTAGGTTGACGCAAAAAGAATTGCGGTTTTTGCCATTTCAAAGTAATAGTAACTCTATCAAGAAGAATTTAAGATTCTGCTCATTTCTGCATTTAAAAATCTGGCTCTGTGAAATTTTGCAGGAGAAATGGGTTCTATTTTTAAAGGGGCTGATTCTTTCTTTCTTCTGATCATTTTCAAGTGAAATTTGAATGAAATAGAGCAGTTTTGAAAGCTCAGCTGCATGATAGATTCTTCCTGAGCTGGGTGGAGCTGGGTTAATGTTTCGCAGAAAGTTGATCACTTCTATTGGTGGTCTGATGGTTCACTCAATAATTGTAGAGGACATAGAGATGTGTATTTAAAATGAGTTATATTGAGCCGGGCAAGGTGGCTCACGCCTGTAATCCCAGCACTTTGGGAGGCCAAGGCAGGTGGATCACCTGAGGCCCAGAGTTTGAGACCAGCCTGACCACCATGGAGAAACCCCATCTCTACTGAAAATACAAAATTGGCTGGGTGTGGTGGTGCATGCCTGTAATCCCAGCTACTCGGGAGGCTGAGGCAGGAGAATCGCTTGAACCCGGGAGGTGGAAGTTGCGGTGAGCCGAGATCGTGTCATTGCACTCCAGCCTGGAGAACAAGAGAGAAACTCCCATCTCAAAAAAATAAAATAAAATAATAAATAAATGAGTTAAATTGAATATTTATTTTATGTATAGTGAACTTGTATGATTCACGAATATTATTGCTAGGACAAAGCGAAAATAGATAGCTATGTTAGCTCAGACTTGATTGAAAGAAACATGTCAGTAAACAAAAATGCTATTGGTACACAGATACGGCAGAAATCATGAAGATGGCTTTGTTTGTTTCCTGTGGTTCTGTAATAACTCACTACAAACTTGGTGACTTAAAATAACACATATTTATTTTCTTACAGTTCTGGAGGCCAGAACTTTAAAATCAGTTTCACTGGGCTGGAATTAAGGTGCTAACAGGTCTGTGTTCCTTCTGAAGGCTCTAGGGGAGGACCCTTTCCCTTGCCTCTTCCAGCTTCTCTGGAGGCTGCCCACATTCTGTGGCTTGTGGCCCCATCACTTGAATCTTTCCCTCCATGGTCACATCAACTCCTCTCCTTCTGTGTGTATACAAATATATCTCTGCTTCCCTGTTTTTTTGTGCTTCTTTTGTGTGTGTGTGTGTGTGTGTGTGTGTTTTGTTTGTTTTTATTTTTTTTGAGACAGAGTCTTACTCTGTCACCCAGGCTGGAGTGCAGTGGCACAATCTTGGCTCACTGCAGCCTTCCCCTCCTGGCTTCAAGCAATTCTTGTGCCTCAGCCACCTGACTAGCTGAGATTACTACATGTATTTTTAGTAGAGACGGGGTTTCGCCATGTTGGCTAGGCTGGTCTCAAACTCTTGACCTCAAGTGATCTGCCTGCCTCGGCCTCCCAAAGTGCTGGGATTACAGGTGTGAGCTACCAAAACCAGCCTGCTTCCCTTTTATAAGGATACCTGTGATGGCACTTAGGACCACCTGAATAATCCGGGATAATCCCCCATCTCAAGATCCTTAATGCAATCACATCTCCGAAGTCTTTTTTTTTTTTTCTTGTTTATTCTTTTGCCAAACAAGGTAACACATTCTCAGGCTCCAGGGATTGGGACATGGGCAGCTTTTAGGAGGGCACTATTCAGCCTACCACAGTGGCAGAGGAAGTTTGGAAAGCACAGAGCAGGTGAAGAAATAAGACTTGTGTTGCCAGAATCCATATCCCAAAGGTCTCCAGCGATCATCAAAGAAAAGAGTCTGCTCTCTGCTTCTGCCTCCAGCTCACTGAAGATGTGGGAGGAGTGGGGTGTGCAGAGAAAAGGACCATGCAGTCCGGGTGCAGTGGCTCACGCCTGTAATCCCAGCACTTTGGGAGGCTGAGGCAGGCAGATCACGAGGTCAAGAGATCGAGACCATCCTGACCAACATGGTGAAACCCCGTCTCTATTAAAAATACAAAAATTAGCTGGGCGTGGTGGCACGCGTCTGTAGTCCCAGCTACTTGGGAGGCTGAGGCAAGAGGAATGGCTTGAACCCTGGAGGTGGAGGTTGCAGTGAGCCGTGATCGCACCACTGCACTGCAGCCTGGGTGACAAAGCAAGAGTCCATCTCAAAAAAAAAAAAAGAAAGAAAGAAAAAGAAAAAGAAAAAAAAGGACCATGCACTCCAGGCAGGTTCCTGTTGTCCTTGAAGAGTAAACACAAAAACACTTGTCCTTGAAGAGTAAACACAAAAAAAATGGATGCATTCACCATAACCTTGGATTCTTGGACATAATTTGAATCACTGGTGCATACATTGGTGATACACACACCTTAGAAAACACGAATTTTAAATTGCCCCGGGTTCAAAGGAACATTGTTTTACTCCATGCGGATCACTAGCTTAAGGCCCCATTTCAGATTCACACTGTATTTATTGAAATTGCTTTTGAAATGTGAATCACCAAATGTTAATAAACAAAGTAATTATTCTTGATTTTCTTTAAGCATTCCATTTATTAAAGGGAACTGATGCTATTCATGATTTCATGAAGAAACATGAGATCTGTAAGTAGGTTAATGTGCTTTTCTCATGAAATTAACGAAGGCATTTTCTTATTGCATAATAAGTAAATTAGAAACGGGATTATCGCATTTCAGGGAAAGGTGCTGTAATAACTTCTTGCTGGATCTGATTAGTGCATTCACAGTGAGTAGCTTTCTCTTGGAAGACTTTCTGGAGGGAGGGCTTATCAACTGAACTCATGTAATTCAGCAAGTTGCGTTAAAGTGTGCAAATGAAGTGAGTGGGAGAGAGGAACTAAATCTCATATCAGCATCAGCTTTGATGACACCCAGGCTTGCTCCCCACCCCCACGTGCACCGCCCACCCTCTGCACATCTGCACAGGCCTGTTGTTGCTCTGACTTCATGGCACCAGTGAGTGATGTCTCTTTTGGCCAAGCAGACAAGAGGAGACCAAAGGAACCAGAGAGCTCCGGGAGACAGGGATGCCAGTCTGCAGCTGGTGAGGAGAGGAAGCTGGGGGGCAGCTCACTCTTTCTCAGAACAATGTCCGGAGAACCTTTGCAGGGAAGCTGGTTCAAGGTGCCCCAAAGTTGTGGCCTGACAACCTTTCTTTAACATGCTCCTCCTGGGCCTGGCTCTGATCGACAACAAAGGAGCGCATCATTTTTGCTCCCGGCTTCTGCTTCTCCTGATCTTTGATTCAAATCCCAGCATAGGGTCTTTTTGCTAAATGGGGTCTTTTTAAATAAAAGATGCATTGTTAGAGAAGCTAGGAGGGTTTCATTTCTGTAATGGGGTCTTTAGTCAAACACAGAGCAGACCTTCTCAAGGAGAGGGGACAAAGCTATCAGTGGTCAGGCCCCACAGGCTGGGGAGAGACAGAGAGAGACAAAAATTCTAATCCAAGTGGGTGACAGCCAGGAGGGGAGGGAAACCTTGCTGGTTTTATTCATGAGAGTTTTCACTAGTGACCAATAGTTAGAAGCAATAAAGAAGGGTGTCAGGTCTGAAGGGACATCAAATTCAGTGACTTTAAAGTTCCCTTCTAGTACCACGGGTGTGACCCTGTGCTTTTATGGTTCACTTAGGCATTCTTTCCTGGGCTGAGCTGTGGAGTAGACAGAACGCAGTTTCCTGCATAACACAGCCCTGGGTTCCAACGAAATCCCACCACTCACAGCTATGTGGCCTTGGGTTTGTCATTTCTCCAAGTCTGTTGTCCTTGTCTACAAAAACAGAGATACCACCTCCCTCCTGAGAGCATTAGTAACTATGAGACAGAGGATACTGGGCCATGTCTTAGCCTGTTCAAGTCTCTGTCACAAAATGCCACAGACTGAGTAATTTATAAACAAAAGATGTTTCTGTCTCACATTTTGGAGGCTGGAAGCCCAGGATCAAGGTGCCAGTAGACTCAGTGTCTGGTGAGGGCCCATCCCTCATAGAAGGCACCTTCTGTGTTTCCTCATATGGTGAGGAAGGCGAACAAGCTCCTTCAAGTCTCTTTTATAAAGGCACCAACCTCATTCACCTCCTAATCACCTAATCACCTCCTAAAGGCCCCACCTCTTAATACCAACACATTGAGGGTTAGGTTTCAACACATGAATTTTGGAGAGGCACAAACATTCAGATCATAGTAGTCCCGGTCGCCAAGTCCCACTATTCTTTTTTTGGTGTTGTTTTTGTTTTTGGGAAGGAGTCTTGCTCTGTTGCCTGGGAAGGAGTCTTGCTCTGTTGCCTAGGCTGGAGTGCAGTGGCATGATCTCAGCCCATTGCAACCTCTGCCTCCTAGATTCCAGCAATTCTCCTGCCTCAGCCTCTCGAGTAGCTGGGACTACAGGCATGCACCACCACGCCTGGCTAATTTTTATATTTGCAGTAAAGATGGAGTTTCGACATGTTGGCCAGGCTGGTCTTGAACTCCTGACCCCAGATGATCTGCCCACTTCTGCCTCCCAAAGTGGTAGGATTACTGGTGTGAGCCAGTGCGCCCACCTCCAAGTCCCCCTATTCTTGATAAGCTGCCTGTCCTCCAATGTTGGTTAAGGAAACAGATATTCAGTCCTCCCCAGTGTGTGTGCTGAAGCTTCTGGTCATAACCCCAGCTTGGGCCTTCCTGCTCCCTTCCTCTCCTCCTGGCCTGTTCCTGCTTGGCTATTGCAGGTGGACGCTGCTCAAGTGCATCTGGATACCAAGGGTCTGAGAGGCAGGAATACAACTAGAGGAGCCAGAACAATTCCAACACAGGGAGCTCCCAAGAGAAATCCCAAGGGAAGTCCAAAGAGAAGTTGCCATGTGGGCCTGAGAGTCTTGGGCCACTTTGCTTGTGCACCTCCCCTCGCCCTGCAGAGCGACTGAGTTCCTGGCTGTTGGCTCCTAGGGGATGCAGAGTTGCCCAGGTGTGATCAGAGGGGAGGAAGCCTTGAGCTCCCCCTAGTGGCCGTGGCCGGGCATGTAAACCAGAGGCCCAGGTTGGGGGCTGCGGGCCCCACCTCCCACCCCCACTCCACGCAAGACTCTTAGGGCCTCATCATCAGACTTTGGAGTCCACTTTCCAAATGTGGCACCACTCCTTTCCACAAAACCAGGGGCCACAAATGAGAGATTTGGTGCCTCTAATTTATTTGGCCAGCTCCATGTTAAAGAAAAACTTTACTTGCCAATACATAAGCGTTGGATTTGACATAAAAATCCAGACATGTGATTTCTCTTGCAAAATCAGAAGCCCTGGCAGATGAAGCCTCGCTGGCTTGCTCACTGCTCACCTCCTGTTGCGTGGCCAGCCCAGTTCCTAACAAGCCATGGACTGGTACTGGTCCGGGGCCGAGGGTTGGGGACCCCTGCAGTAGAGGGCAGGGGCAGAGGTGGGGAGGCCATTAAGAGGCTGTTGTTCTGATGCAAGTGAGAGATTAGGGTGCGCTGGACCAGGGTGGTGTTTAGTAATCATGATTAGAAATGGTTGGTACCGGCCGGGCACAGTGTCTCACGCCTGTAATCCCAGTACTTTGGGAGGCCAAGGTGGGCTGATCACCTGAGGTCAGGAGTTTGAGACCAGCCTGACCAACATGGAGAAACCCCCATCTCTACTAAAAACACAAAATTAGCCGGGCGTGGTGGCGCATGCCTATAATCCCAGCTACTCAGGAGGCTGAGGCAGGAGAATCGCTTGAACCCGGGAGGCGGAGGTTGTGGTGAGCCGAGATCACGCCATCACACTCCAGCCTAGGCCATAAGAGCGAAACTGTCTGGAAAAAAAAAAGAAAGAAAGAAAAAACAAAGAAAGAAAGAAAAAAAAAAGAAGTGGTTGGTACCACAGAATTGAACCCCCTCTCGTATATAAAAAGCATCTTCTGTCTCCCATTTTTCCTCATTTCTGCTCTAACTGAGGCTGAGAGTCCCTGGTTGTAGCCTTGTAGCCCCGTCAGGCTGTAGCCTGAGCCATTTTTTCTGGAACTGATGGGTCTCCTTCAACTTTACCTTGCTCCACCCAATTCTTCATGGTTAGCGTGTGGTTCTGCAATCCCACGGTGTCACTCACCAGGACCCAGAAGAATACCAGTCTGTACCCAAAACATTTAGAAGACACAAGCAAATGCTAGAAGAACTCATCATCTTGTTACAATGACTTCTGTCATTCAATCCTGCTACTGAGCCAGGCGCTTGAAGGTCTCTAGGATTTTCTTTTCTTTCTTTTTTTTTTTTTTTTTTTTTTGAGATGGAGTCTTACTCTGTCACCCAGGCTGGAGTGCAGTGGCACAATCTCGGCTCATTGCCACCTCCGCCTCCCAGGCTCAAGCAGTTCTCCTGCCTCAGCCTCCCAAGTAGCTGGGGCTACAGGCGCCCGCCGCCACGCCCGGCTAATTTTTTTGTATTTTAGTAGAGACGCGGTTTCACCCTGTGGCGCAGGCTGGTCGCAAACTCCTGAGCTCAAGCAATCCGCCTGCCTCAGCCTCCCAAAGTGCTGGGATTACAGGTGTGAGCCACCGTGCCCGGCCGAAGGTCTCTAGGATTTTCTACATGCTATTATCTTTTCTTGGAATACATCTTCCCTCCACCCAGGTAACTCTAGTCTTAGCTTAGACATGGCTCTCTCCATAGATCCTTTCTTGACCCAGAAGTTTTTGCTGAGGGTTGCCACCACCAGTCAGAATGCAGTTCCAAATTCATCTTATACAGGTCTGGGACTAGGGTGCAAGCTTTCAGGAGCCAGTTACTCTCAGGGTCATGCAAGTGTAGGGGCCACTTGAGAGTGTCTCCTTACATTCTACACCCTAGGAGCCTCCTGCACTCCACCCTAGTCCTGGCCCTGGCTATGATCCAAGACATGCAGGAACATCAAGCTCAGGGGCTTTGTGCCCCCAGATGCTTTGCCAGTATGGCGCTGAGTTAGATTGTACCTTGCGAGGCACTGGCATGGCATTTGGAAGAGAGAAGAGCAGAAGAAGCCATCATTATCCAGCAGCACTGAATTCGCTTGGCAGCAACATTCATCATTCCCGAGTCACCTTCCTGAGCTCACCCATTTCACTGGTGCCACTAGCTGCTGAGAATGTCATGAGACCCTTCCTCGGGATGCCCATGCTCTGTCATTTCTTGAAGCAGCCCTCCTGACTGCCACTTTCCAAGCCTCTATTTCCCTCTAATAAACGTTTTGGTCTCCTAAATACCTGGAGTGGCATTTACTTTCCAGGCTGAGCCTTGACAGACACACTTCCCCAGTCCCCCATGAGAAAGAGTAGGCTTCCCATGAGTCACGATTTCAGCATCTTCACCAGCACAGGACATCTGCCTGTCAGCCAGCCCTGTGCACTCTGGCTGCTGATGCCCAGGCCTTCCTGGCCTTCCTTCAGTGCCCCTGCCTGGCACATAACTCATAACTCTTAATCTCCATCCTTAAGTGGGTTCCTCAGGAAAGCTGTCTCTGGCTCTGCCCAGCCCTCTCTGTGACCAGCTCCATGCCCTCCTAAGCACTTAACTTAGAGCTTCATTATTATTATTATTACTTTTTGAGATGGAGTCTCCATCTCTTTTGAGATGAAGTCTCGCTCTGTCACCAGGCTGGAGTGCAGTGGCATGATCTCGGCTCACTGCAACCTCCACCTCCCAGGTTCAAGTGATTCTCCTGCCTCAGCCGCCCGAGTAGCTGGGGGATTACAGGCGCCTGCCACCACACCCGGCTAATTTTTGTACTTTTAGTAGAGATGGGGTTTTGCCATGTTGGCCAGGCTGGTCTTGAACTACTGACCTCAGTTGATCCTCTTGCCTTGGCCTCCCAAAGTGCTGGTATTACAGGTGTGAGCCACTGTGCCCGGCCAGAACCCCATGGTTTTCTTCCTTCCTATAGTTTATTCCTGATATGGTTTGGTTGTGTCTCCACCCAAATGTCACCTTGAATTGGAGTAATCCCCACGTGTCAAGGTGGGGCCAGGTGGAGATAGCTGAATCATGGGGCCAGTTTCCCCCACACTGTTCTTGTGTAGTGGATAAGTCTCATGAGACCTGATGGTTGTTTTTTTTTTTTTTTTTTTTTTTTTTTTGAGATGGAGTCTTGCTCTGTTGCCCAGGCTGGAGTGCAGTGGCGCGATCTTGGCTCACCGCAAGCTCCTCCTCCTGGGTTCAAGCGATTCTCCCGCCTCAGCCTCCCAAGTAGCTGGGACTGCAGGCGCCCACCACCATGCCTGGCTGATTTTTCGTATTTTTAGTAGAGATGGGGTTTCACTGTGTTAGCCAGGATGGTCTCGATCTCCTGACCTCATGATCCGCCCGCTTCGGCCTCCCAAGATCTGATGGTTTTATACATGGGAGTTCCCCTGCACTTGCTCTCTCTTGCCGGCTGCCTTGTAAGACCTGCCTTTGCTTCTCCTTTGCTCTCTGCCATGATTGTGAGGCCTCCTCAGCCATGTGGAACTGTGAGTCCATTAAACCTCTTTCTTTTATAAAGTACCCAGTCTTGGGTATGTCTTTATTAGCAGCATAAGAACAGATTAATACAGTCCTAACATATAATATTTCTTTGATTATTCAATAATCAGTGGCACATCTCTTTCAGTAGGTGATAGGATCCATGAGGACAGGCAGAATTGCCCACTATGGTATCCCCTGTGCCTGATTCAGTACCTGGCACTAGTATGTGCTCAATGAGCAATTTGTAAAATGAATCAATAAATAATTTGTTGCATTGAATTGCATTAGGTTGTCAGCACCCATAGAGCACTTCTGGTAATGGTAGCTCAATGATAGGAACTATGGGAGAGGTAAAAAAAATGAATAATCAATAAACAGATAGGAAAGGTTAAGTCTTGTGAAGGCATGTATTCCAATATGGCCACCAAGGGCTCTCCCATCCTAGGAGCACTTGTTACAACGTAACCTTTACATTCCTTCCATCAAGAGGTGCCGTCTATGTCCCTTTCCTTTGAAATTAAGTGAGCTTTTGCACCTGTTTTGACCAATAAAATATAGCAGAAAGGTCATAGCAAACAATGCCACTGTCCCCTTACTTTGGAATACTCCCTTCTGAAGTTTGCGGCCATGGAGGCAGTCTGGCTGCCCACAAGTCCGCCATGCTGTGAGGAAGCTCAAACTCCCCTAGATAGAGAAGCCCTGAACCTACTTGAAGAAAGATGTCCTGCCAGTCTTCAGCTGCTTCAACCACTGTCTGGTTGCAATTAAATGAGACCACTGGCCAGAACTGTCCAGATGAGACTGTCCCAAATTCCTGACCCACAGAAACAATGACAGATAGTGAAATGACTTTTGTTGCATTAAGCCACTGAATTTGGGGGTGATTTGTTACACAGCAAGAAATAACTAGAATAGATTTGAATTCAAAGAATGTATGATCTAGTTAGAGGCCGGGCATGATGGCTCATGCTTGTAATCCCAGTGCTTTGAGAGGCCAAGGTGGGAGGATCACTTAAGTCCAGAGCTCAAGACCATCCTGGTCAATATAGAGAGACCCTGCCTCTATTTTTGAAAAAAAAATTGAGTTGGAAAGTCAAGACGTGAGTGAATTTAACCAAGTTTATTGGATGGTGCCAGCAGTCTCTGGATGGCAAAGGTCCAAATTGTATGGTTCTATCTATGCGAATACCATAAATACACTCACCCATCCATCCCCATCTTCTCTCTCCCATTCATCTCTATCCATGCTCCCTTACCTCTGCCCCTAATCTTGCCTTGGTCCTTCAAATCCTTGGTTCCCATCATATGTCTGCAATTCACTGCAGGGCTGACACTTTCTCAAACTCTCAACCTGATAGAGCCTTAAATTAATAAGCTACCTGGTCTTCCCAGCTTCACTTTGGATGTACTGCAGAGTGGAGTCAAGGGTGTTTAGATCACAAACCCCTGGTTCTGGCTCCTGGATCTTGACAACAGTCATCACATAAATTTTCTAACAAGAGACACATCCGCATAATTAAACCAAAGATATCACAGACGCAGACACATGCAAAGAGGGCAGGGCTGGGAGAAGGGAACCATTCATCAAAACCTCATCATAAATTCAAGTTGAAGGACTGAAAAGGAACAAAGCATGGATACTTCCCAAACCCAGCAGCTGGACCTCTCACTGAAATCCTGAAATCACTGCAGCCCAACTCAACATCTGGGAGAGAATAAAATATAATAAAGACTTAAAAAGAACAGACGCTGGGCAATTACCAGTTGAAGTGCGGATGGGGAATATAAATTCTCTGAGCGCCTAAAGACAGAAATATACATTGGCACATGGGTCTTAGGGCTGTGAATTTCATCCAGCTGTAGCCACCATTCTTTCTCACTATGACTAATATTTCGTTAGCAAATGCACTTTCTAAGCAATGAACATAATTATGTTCAGGTTGACATGACCTAAATTAGAGTGGCTGAATTTTTATTTATTCGACATCAGCAGTGAAGTAAAATGTCCAAAAGGATTTTGATGCTGAATCAAAGTACCAAAGAATGTTGGGAATAACATTCTATTTAGAATTGGAAGATCTGGGTAGAAGTCCTATCTAGTCCATGTATACATTGTGTGAGACTGGGCAATATTGAATCTCCTAAATGTGGACACAAATTTGAAATGGAGATAAAACCTACCTCCAGAGTTTTAATGAGGATTAAATTAGGTAATATATCTTCAAAACTCCTGCCACATTGCTTTCGGCTTCTTCACCTGTAAAATTGGAGCAATACTTGCATAAGAGGGTTAGGTTGTAAGGATTCCTTAGCTTATGATACTAATTAAGATACTCTTGGTTGTAACAGACAGTGGGATTTATAGTTGCTTTAAAATATAATGTATTGGCTGAGCACGGTAGCTCATGCCTGTAATACCAGCACTTTGGGAGGCCAAGGTGGGCGGATCACCTGAGGTCAGGAGTTGGAGACCAGCCTGGCCAACATGGTGAAATCCAGTCCCTAACACACACACACACACACACACACACACACACACACACACACACACACAAAATTAGCTGGGGCATGGTGTCACATGCCTGTAGTCTCAGCTACTCGGGAGGCCGAGTATGAGAATCTCTTGAACCTAGGAGGTAGAGGTTGCAGTGAGCCGAAATGGCACCAGTGCACTCCAGCCTAGGCAACAGAGTAAGACTGTCTCAAAATAATAATAAAGTAAAATAAAATGTATTGAGTTGTTCTAGCTAATGAGAAAGCAGAAGGTAAGTGATTCCAGGGTAGGATCAATGACATCAGTGATGAGTAATATCAAGGCATTGAGTCTAAGTCTCTGCAACCCATGTGGCTCCTCCCTCATGGTGGCAAGATGGTTGCATCAGCTCCAAGCATCAGGTCTTCACACCAGAGTGCCCAAAGCATGAAAGGAGAAGAGTTTTTTCCACACATCTCTCTTATCAAGGAGGAGAACATTGCTCCCCCGACACATTTTCTGTTACATCTCATTGGCCAGAACTGAACCATGGCAATTTTTTGCTGGGAAGGAGCCTGGGGAAATAAATACCCAGCATTTCCAAAAGCTAGCATGAAGAGCCACCTCTAGCAGCAGGGAAAAAGGGGGAGAAAAATGACATTGGGGTGGGAAACACACTGGGTCTGCCCCTGTAATGGATGTGGAGTGTCTACCGTGATGGGCCCCATGGTCAATGGAGTAACATTCATTGAGCACCAGCTGTGTGCCAGCTATGGTTTGTAGACCTTTAGAGGGATCACCTCATTTCATCCTCTCAACAATCCTTGAGAAAGTACTACTATTAGCCTTGTTTTATTTTTTTGAGACTGAGTTTCGCTCTCGTTGCCCAGGCTGGAGTGCAGTGGTGTGATCTCGGCTCACTGCAACCTCCGCCTCCCAGGTTCAAGCGATTCTCCTGCCTCAGCCTCCCGAGTAGATGGGATTACAGGCATGCACCACCACAGCCAGCTAATTTTGTATTTTTGGTAGAGACGGGGTTTCTCCTTGTTGGTCTCAAACGTCTGACCTCAGGTGATCCACCTGCCTTGGCCTCCCGAAGTGTTGGGATTACAGGCATGAGCCACCGCACCCAGCCAGCCTTGTTTTATAGACAAGGAAATTGAGGCACAGAAAATTTCATCCACTTTAGCTCAAGGCTATGCAACTAGTGAGTTGGCACAAAGATATCCACACCTGAGTCAGAGCAGGTTGAGTCTTCAAACTAGGTCAAAGGTGGATGCCTATCTCACTTCTCAGGTCTTGTTTGTTCTGATTCTCACCTCGAACTCAAGTGGATTTGAGTTTCTACCTGTGTATCTTAGTGATGAGTATGTTTGTGAAACATTTCCATAAAGTCATGAGATCTCCTAAACTGTTCCTAAATTTATTTACACGTTCATATTGTGATGATTGTTGTGGAGTGGAGGCCTCAAGGCTCAGGCTTACCTGGACCACAAGGTCAGTGACCTGGGCCCATATCAGGACTGATTTGTGCCCATCACTTTCCATGGGGTCTGACAGATTTTCTCCAGAGAGGCGGGTGGTAAGCTGTGGTCACAACCAGGGTTTATCTTATGCTTTGTTAACTGGGCAGGGAGGCTACTGGAAGGAAGTCCCCAAGTATGGACCGCAGGGCACTTGGGAGAGAATACGAGCCTGGCACAAGGAGCTGGGCTCAGCCACACGGCCTGAAGGTTTTGGGTGTGGCTTGTTGGCTGTTACTTGGCCCTGTCCCTGAGGAACAGAAGCACTTTGACTGTGACCTCAGGGCCAAGGGAGTAGAGCAGTGAGGAGAGGGGGACCTTCCTAAACCTCCCTGGAGAACAAAAGCAACCTCAGCACTTCGGCGCAGAGCAGAGCAGACCTGGGACGATGCCTGGAGCAAAGCAGCTGCTGGTGCCCATTGGAGTGTCCCAGAGCTTGGGGAGAAACAGTGCAAGGTGCACAACCAGCTGTGGACAAAAGTCTCTTCTCAACCTCCTACTGTGTGCCAGGCTCTGGCTGGCATGGTCCGTGTCAACAGATTGCCTGACAAGGGAGAGGAGCTTAGAAACAGCGTGTTGACGGTGAAACCCCGTCTCTACTAAAAATACAAAAAAAAAATTAGCCAGGCATGGTGGCGGGCACCTGTAGTCCCAGCTACTCGGGAGGCTCAGGCAGGAGAATGGCGTGAACTCCAGAGGCGGAGCTTGCAGTGAGTCGAGATTGCGCCACTGCACTCCAGCCTGGGCGACAGAGTGAGACTCCGTCTCAAAAAAAAAAAAAAAAGAAACAGCGTGTTGAGCACTATGGTGGGGGAAGTGCAGGGTATGAAGAGCGCCTCCAGGAGGGCCAGGCATCTAACTGGGCTTGGGGAAGATTCTGGAAGTGTCTTATTAGAGCATGCCTAACCTTTCATACCAGTTTTCTACAGTGCTTCTGCTGTCTCATATTTCCCTACCGCATGCCAACCTCCATGGGGCAGCCAGATTTGTCATCCTGAAGCAGAGTTTTCTCAACCTGATTTTTTCCATGATTACTACCCCCTCAATACACATCATTAAATTTTTTTTTTTTTTCTTAGCGGAATTTCGCTCTGTCGCCCAGGCTGGAGTGCAGTGGTGTGATCTCAACTCACTGCAACCTTCGCCTCCCAGGTTTAAGCAATTCTCCTGTCTCAGCCTCCCGAGTAACTGGGACTATAGGCGCCCGCCACCATGACTGGCTAATTTTTTTTTTTTTTTTTTTTTTAGTGGAGACAGGGTTTCACCATGTTGGTCACGCTGGTCTCGAACTCCTGACCTCAGGTGATCCATCCGCCTCAGCCTCCCAAAGTGCTGGGATTACAGGTTTGAGCCACTGCACTCGGCCACATCAGTGAAATTTTAATACCACAGAGATATTGTATGTCTGTTTGCTTATTGTACATACATCTGTGCTTTATACACGAAAAGTACAATTTTTTACTTCCCAAGAACCAATTTCTGTCCCTTTGGTGGCAATATTTCCCCCCACTGAGAATGTAGTTTTCTAAAAGAATAAGCCCAATTTTCTTAGTCCATTCCTGCTGCTATAACATAATACTTCAGATTGGGTAATTTATAAATAATATAAATTTGTTTCTCAGAGTTCTGGAGGCTGGGAAGTCTAGGGTCAAGGTGCCAGCAGGCATTGCTTTGGGCCAGGTGTGGTGGCTCACGCCCGTAATCCCAACACTTTGGGAGGCGAGGCAGGTGGATCACCTGAGGTCAGGAGTTCAAGACCAGCCTGGCCAACATGGTGAAACCCCGTCTTCACTAAAAACACAAAAATTAGCCGGGCGGTGGTGGCCCATGCTTGTAATCCCAGCTACTCAGGAGGCTGAGGCAAGAGAATCACTTGAGCCCAGAGGCAGAGGTTGCAGTGAGCCGAGATCATGCCATTCCACTCCAGCGTGGGTGACAAGAGCAAAACTCCGTTTCAAAAAAAAAAAAAAAATGTGCCAGCTGATTTGGTGTCTGGTGAAGGCTTGCTCTCTGCTTCCAAGACTGTGCCTTGCTGAGTCCTTACTTAGCAGGAGGGCAAAAGGGGTACAATTAGGATCCCTCCTTTTACAAGAGCACTAAATCGCTTCCCATAGGCCTCTTAGTACCAGCACTTTGCGGGTTAAGTTCCAACATATGAAGTTTAGGGAGATGCAAATATTCGGACTCTGGTAGCTATGCTCTTCGTGTAAAGCCATTAAATCATTTCTGAGGCATGTTTAGTTGATCCATTTAATCTGGTGGCTGTGGTGGTGTCGCAGTGACATGGCTAGCTGGAAAGTTACAGCATGGATGAAGGGTACACCTAATGGAAGCCTGTAAGTCAATGGTTGGATCAGTTCTCTATCATTTCATAACAATTACCCTGAAGCTTAGTAGCACACACATCATCTCTTTTCTGTGGGTGAAGAACCTTAGTATGGTTTAGTTGGGTGCTCATGCTCAGGGTGTCTCACAGGTTGCAATTGAGGTGTCCGTCAGTTCAACTGGGGAGGGTCTGTCTGCTTTCAAGGTCACCCCGTGGTAGTTGGCAGAGCTCAGTTCCTTATAGGTGAGTGGACTAAGGACCTCAGTTAGTTGCTGACTGTTGTCTTCAGGCTGTCCTCAGTCCCTCCTTCACATATGAGCCTTCCCGTGGGGCAGCTGGCAACATAGCAACTTGCTTCATCAGTGTGAATGAGAGTGGGGAGAGAATGGAGAGAAAGAGAGATAGGGATGGGGAAAGCAGCAGAGGGAGAGAAGGAGAGAGGGAATTTGACCAAGACAGAAGTCACAGTCTTTAGAAGCAAGGCACTCTGGAGAGGCGATTGCACAAGGTGTGAATAGCAAGAGGCAGGATCATCACTGAGAGCCTTTCAGAAGCTGCCTACCATGATGGTCAAGCCAAAGTCAGGAAACACACAAGTCACAAAAACCATTGGTGGTCTAGGTTGGGTGGATGATCAACAATTGGGCAGGCAGCCAGGACCTGTCCTTAAGGCAAATCCATGGGCCAAGAGCAGAAAGGTGGCATGGAATCAGTGGTCAACAGGAGTCCGAATTCCAAGCAAGGCACTGAGTCAAGTCAAGGAGGATACCAAGGACTCTGGGAGCAATCCCTGGCCAAGCAGCCCAGGCAACAGAGATGAGTTACAGTGGTAGGAAGATTCTTTTTATTTATTTATTTATTTTTATTTTTTGAGATGGAGTCTTGCTCTGTCGCCCAGGCTGGAGTGCAGTGGCCCGATCTCGGCTCACTGCAAGCTCCACTGCCTGGGTTCACACCATTCTCCTGCCTTAGCCTCCCGAGTAGCTGGGACTACAGGCGCCCGCCACCACGCCAAGGTAATTTTTTTTTGCATTTTTAGTAGAGAAGGGGTTTCACCATGTTAGCCAGGATGGTCTCAATCTCCTGACCTCGTGATCCACCCTCACCTCGGCCTCCCAAAGTGCTAAGATTACAGGCGTGAGCCACCATGCCTGGTGGAAGATTCTAAAGCTAGGTAATGGCTTTGTCAGCCAGGAAGCCAATTCCCTGATAAAAACTGCCCCCAGACCCTGGTAGTTCTAGGGCCTGGAGGTGAGAGCAGTGATCTTCTTTAGGAAGCTGTGAGAATTGAGCATCCTAGAGACAGAGCTCAGAGCAAATGGGGAAGCAGCACAGGGAAGATTCTAGAAACAGACAGGTGGGCTTTGAATGCCAGCCCAGCTACTCACTAGTTGTGTGGTGTTAGGTGAGTAAATTGACTCTAAACCTGAGTTTTCTGTTCTCTGAATAATCCTCAATTCATAGTAAGGCTGACAAAGATGGAATAGGATACTAAAATCTTAGTACAGTGTCTGCTACAGAGCAAGCATTCAATAAATGTTTATTATTGCTATAATTCTTATTATATAAAGGTAATATATTTAGGGGAAAAACAATGCAAACCTTAAAATCAAAATAACACCATCAACAAGAGCCTAATATTCTCTGATTGAGAAGATGCCAATTCAAAATTTAACCCAATTTCTTATTTACTAATAAAGGGTGGCAGGCAGTATGGGAATCACAATTGCTGAAGGGCTATTTCATGTCAGGCATTGCTCTAGGTGCCTTGTAAAGCTAACTTCATGCCATCCTTTCAACCAGCATGCAAAAGTGGAGTTGGTATTCCCATGTTATAGACGAAGCAACAGAGACTCAGAAAAGTTGAGTGAGTTGCTGAAGGTCACACAGTTAATAGGAGATAGAAGTGGACATTTGATACAGGCCAGTTGGATTCCAAATCCCAAGGCCATCGATCCTATTTTATGTTAACATGGTTGGGTGGAGATGTTAACCAGAGCCTACACAGCTTACTCATGACATAGGGAGGAGCTGAAGAGTGAGTCCAGGTTGCAGAATATGTGACAAGAGGAGCCAAGGAATCAGTCAACTCCCAAGGGCAAAAGAATGATGTTTTCATTCATTACCATTCAGGAAAGAAAACATATTTCTCCTTAGGAAATCAGAGTCAGAATCCAAGATAGTGAAGAACCAACACAATAATATTTTGGACCTTATTAATAGGTATCAGTTCTTTAATATTTGAGTTTCCCCTGGGAAGGAATAATCTCTCCTCCAGTGCATTTTCACCCATGAACAGACCTAATTTTACGTCTAGTATCCAGAAGGCTTCTGGGCTTCTAAAGAGGTTTCCACCCTGGATGGACAATTCTCTAACACTATTTTTTAGCTACCACAGCTCGATCAAAATACTCTCTGTGGATGTATATATACTAAAGATCACTGCCAATTGTAGCCATAACAGTCAAGTTTCTTAGTTGCAGAAAAGTTTGAGCAGAAAGGGATTTACAGCTGGGTGCAGTGGCTCACACTTGTAATCCCAGCCCTTTGGGAGGCTGAAGAGGGTGGATCACATGAGGTCAGGAGTTCAAGACCAGCCTGGCCAACATGATGAAATCCTGTCTCTACTAAAAATACAGAAATTAACTGGGCTTGGTGGTACACGCCTGTAATCCCAGCTACTCAGGAGGCTGAAGCAGGAGAATTGCTTGAACCCGGGAGGCAGAGGTTGCAGTGAGCTGAGATTGCACCACTGCACTCCAGCCTAGGTGACAGAGTAAGACTCCATCTCAAAAAAAAAAAAAAAAAAAAAGGGATTTACTACCAGATATTGTATTATTTTCAATATTTCCGGGGAGACTGGAGAACCAAGCTTGGATGTCACGTGGCCAGGAACAATGCAGCCCGCCAACCATGTCATAGCACTTTTCTGGTTTTAAATTCTGTATTGGAAGATGTTTGGGACTGAGTGCAGTGGCTCACTCCTATAATCCCAGCAACTTGGGAGGCCAAGAAGGGTGAATTACTTAAGCTCAGGAGTTCGAGACCAGCTGAGGCAACATGATGAAACCTCGTCTCTATAAAAAATAGAAAAATTAGCTGGGCGTTCTGACGTGCAGCTGTAGTCCCAGGTACTTGGGAGGCTGAGGTGGGAGGATCGCTTGATTCTGGGAGGTGGAAGTTGCAGTGAGCCAAGATCATGCCTGGGTGACAGAGTAAGACCTTGTCTGAAAAAAAAAAAAAAAGTGCCTGGAATTTGCTTCAAAAGAATATGGAAATGGAGAGTAGGGGTACAGATGAAAATAAATTGACACAAGTTAATAATTATTGAAGCTAAAACAGGTGCACGAGGTTTCTTTTCACTGGTCTATTTTGTTAAAATAAATTTATTGAGATATAACTTAATGAGTACAGCGGACATTTAGTGCTACACTAAAAGCCCAGACTTTATCACTATGCAGTATATCCGTGTAACAAAATTGCTCTTGTATTCCTTAAAATTTTACAAATAAGATTTTAAAAGGGGAAAGAGAAAAACAGATTTGTTGAGATATAATGTATATGCTCTAAAATTTACTCATTTTAAACTGTACAATTCAATGGTTTTTAGTATATTTACAGAATCGAGTAACCATCACCACAATCTAAATTTGGAACATTTTTATCACCCCCCAAAAGGAACCCCATACCCATTAGCAGTATGGGTATTCCCATTCTGCCATTCCCATTCCTTCTCATTCCAGCCAAGGGAAAACTGTAATCTACTTTCTGTCCCTATAAATTTGCTTATTTGGGATATTTCTTATAAATGGAAACTTACAATATGTGGTCTTTCATGACTGGCTTCTCTCACTTAACACGTGTTCTAGGTCCATCCATGTTGTAGTGTGTATTAGTAGGTCATTCTTTTTGACTGTTGTGTGATAAATACATTCAGTTGTATGTATGTCACATTTTGTTTATCCACTAATTAGCTGGCAGGCATTTGGATTGTTTCCACTTTTTTGGCTATTATGAATAATGGTGCTAGGAACATTCATGTATAAATGTTTGTATGGACACTTATTTTAATTTTTCTTGAATATTCCTAGGAGTGGAATTGCTGCGTCGTATGGTAACTTTATGTTTCACATTTGGAGGAACTACCAGATTGGTTTCCAAAATGGCTGCACCATTTTGTACATTCTTACCAGTAATGTATGAAGGTTCCAGTTTCTCCACATTCTTACCAACAGTTGTTATACTCTTATTAAATTTTTATTTTTTTATATGGTAAAATACGTACTACTTTAACATGTACTACTTTAACCTTTTTTTTTTTTTGAGATGGAGTCTTGCTCTGTTGCCCAGGCTGGAGTCAGTGGCACCATCTTGGCTCACTGCAACCTTCACCTCCTGGGTTCAAGCAATTCTCATGCCTCAGCTTCCTGAGTAGCTGGGATTACACGTGTGTGCCACCATGCCCGGCTAATTTTTGTAGTTTTAGTAGAGACAGGGTTTCACCATGTTGGCCAGGCTGGTCTTGAGCTCCTATCCTCAAGTGACCTGCCTGCCTCGGCTTCCTGCACCCTGTCTATTTTAGCCATTTTAATTGTGCAACTCAGTGGCATTAAGTACATTCACAATATTGTTTGTATAACAATCACTACTCTCTATTTCTAGTACTTTTTCATTGCTCCAAATAGAAACACTGTACGCTTTATACAATAACTCCTCATTCTCCTTTCTCCCCACTCCCTCTACTTTCTGTCTCTATGAATTTGCCTACTCTAGGTACTGCAGATATGTGTAATCATATAATCTTTGTCCTCTTGTGTCTAGCTTCTTTCACTTAGCATAATGTTTTCAAGGTTCACCCATGTTGCAGCATGTATCAAGATTTCATTCTTTTTCATGATTGAATAATATTCCACATTACCTATATAACACATGTTACTCATTCATCTGCTGATGGACACAAGTTGTTTTCCCCTTTTGGCTATTGTGAATAATACCATTATGAACATTGGTGCAAAATATCTGTTTGAGTTCCTGCTTTCAATTCTTTTGGGTATATACCCAGAAGTGGGATTGCTGGATCACATGGTAATTCTATGTTTAACTTTCTGAGGAGACGCCAAACTGTTTTCCACAGCAGCTGCACCGTTTTACATTCCCACGAGCAACGCACAGGAGTTCCAATTTCTCCACATCCTTGCCAATACTTGTTATTTTTGATTCTAGCCATCCTAGTGGGTGTGAAGTGGTATCTTATTGTGGTTTTGATTTGCATTTTCCTGATGGCTAATGATGTTGAGGATCTTTTCATGTGCTTATTAGCCATTTGTATACCTTCTTCAGAAAAATGTCAATTCAAATCCTTTGCACATTTGAAAGTGATTTTTAAAAAATCTTCTAATTTGAGTTGTAATACTTTTTTATCTATTCTGAATGCAAGTCTCTTATCAGGTATATAATTTGCATATGTCGTCTTTTCACTTTCTTGATGGTATTGTTTGAAGCACAAACGTTTTTAATCTTGTTGAAGGCCAGTTTATTTTTTCCTCTATTGCTTATGCTTTTGGTGTCTTATCTAAGAAATCATTGCTTACACCAATGTTGTGAAGATATACTGTTATGTTTTCTTCTAAGAATTTTATAGTTTTAGCACGTATAAAAAGGTCTGTGATCTATTATGAGTTAATTTTTGTGCATAATGTAAGGGTCCTAACTAATTCTTTTCCGCATAGATATTAATCTATCTATGTTTGTGTATGGTGAGGCTTCCCGTAATAAAACCTTAAGAAAAGGCAGGCTGAGCATGGTGGCTCACGCCTGTAATCACAACAGTTTGGGAGGCCAAGGTGGGTGGATCGTTTGAGGTCAGGAATTTAAAACCAGCTTGGCCAACATGATAAAACCCCGCCTCTATTAAAAACACAAAAATTAGCTGGGCTTGGTGGTGGATGCCTGCAGTCCCAGCTACTCGGGAGGCCGAGGCAGGAGAATCACTTGAACCTGGGAGGCAAGGTGGCAGTGAGCAGAGATCGCACCACTGCACTCCAGCCTGGGCAACAGAGCGAGACTTTGTCTCAAAGGAAAAAAAAAAAAAAAAAAAAAGAAAGAAAGAAAAGAAAAGAAAAGGCATTGAAAAAAAGTTACATACTAGGTAGGAACTGCTTTTCATTGCTAATGACTTCTACCTAAATAAGAGTGTTTTTAGCACTCTTACGTTTGGTTTTTAAATTTATTCACTTTAAGTAAAAGAAGTTCAGAAGTAGGCAGAGCTGATACGGCCATTCTATTCTATCTATAATTGTTATTGACCCAGAATCCTACTATCTGTTTGTTGCAACATTCCTACATGTGGCATCTATCCTCAAGGTTACCATGGTCACAATGTAGTAGCTGGAGCACCAGCAACACCTTTGCATTCTGAGCAGGAAGAAGAAAAGTTAAAAAAAAAAAAAAAAAGCCGGGGGTTGGGGAGCGGTGAGAAGGAGAGTCATCCCTTTGAACAACTTTTCCCCGAAGCTAATTTAAAGACTTGAGTTTCTTTCTTTTTCTTTTTTTCTTTTTTTTTTTTTGACAGAGTCTCGCTCTGTCGCCCAGGCTGGAGTGCAGTGGTGCAATCTCGGCTCACTGCAAGCTCCGCCTCCCGGGTTCACACCATTC
The DNA here is from genome assembly GCF_000001405.40 of Homo sapiens. NCBI lineage: Eukaryota > Metazoa > Chordata > Mammalia > Primates > Hominidae > Homo > Homo sapiens. Next base: position 10,243,492 of record NC_000017.11, read on the forward strand.
TCCTGCCTCAGCCTCCTGAGTAGCTGGGACTACAGGCGCCCGCCACCATGCCTGGCTAATTTTTTGTATTTGTTTTAGTAGAGATGGGGTTTCACCATGTTAGCCAGGATGGTCTCGATCTCCTGACCTCATGATCCACCTGCCTCGGCCTCCCAAAGTGCTGGGATTACAGGCATGAGCCACCACGCCCGGCCTTTAAACACTTGAGTTTATAACCCATTGGCTATTCCCGTAGTAGGGAGGCTGGGTACATTAACATATTCATCAGTACAAGGGTCCTAACATTAAATTAAATGAGGATGCATGGTGGATATCAAGTAGCCAAGGCAGCTGGCTGTGGTGCAGGGTGCCACTTGGCCACCCACTACCGATTTTTAGTCCTCTTAGTGGCAAATAGGATTGTGGGATTAGATGAGCCAAGTATTGCTAGAGCTTCCAAGTTCTAGAGACTTGAATTCTACATTTAATATAAACTCTCCAGATTTTTCAATGCTGGTAACCAATCCAAAAAAACAAAAGTTTAACCTTGTCTGGGCCAAACACAGTACTTCTGTGGCCCGTGTTCCACCTCGTGCTGCCTGGTGACATCCTCTGCTTTTGGGTGAACATTAGAGCTCTTGAGACACCTGAAGGGCCCAGGAGTGGTATTACAATTCCCCTGTGTGGCTCCGAGCCAGTGGGTAGAAGTCACGAGGAAGTAGATCTTGGCTCAACTTTAGGAAGAACTCTATCTGCAGAGCTGTCAAAAACAGAAGGAGCTGCCTGGGGAGGTAGGAAGCTCTCTGTTGCTAGAGGTGTTTGAGCAGATGCCAGAGAAGAACTTGGCAATGATTTCTAAGGTCCTCCCAACCCCAAGAGTCTCTGAGGCTATAAGAAAATTACTGTGATGACTACTGCTGCTTCGATGACTCACTGAAAGGAGGATCCTGCAGGAGGCAAATGGAGGATGAGACGCCACACATCTGGATTGTTAAGGAGCTAGCAACCCACCAGCTGTGGTGTCCTACCCTGCAAATGACAAGGCAAAGGGAAATGGGAAATGCCCTCACCGTGGGGATGACCTCTATTCAACGTAGCCTGTAGGGTAGCAAAGAGTTCTTTCCCAAATATTTACAAGCACGATTTGATTCATCTCCATGCACTGCATAGGGATACACAACAGATACGTAGCTTTTCTTATGCAGGATGATTCAGGTTACTAAACTACACTCCTTTATTTACTCCTGCTTTCAGGGCTGGCTTTCTGGTATGCGACCTGTGCAGGTGTAGAGGGCCCTGCATGCAGAAGGACCTGATGCTTGGTGTAATGCTCCGCTGTTACCATCTTAAAATTCTCAGTTTTGAAAAAGGGGTCTCATATTTTCATTTTTCCCTGGCCCCTGCAGTTATGCAGTGGGTACTCCACACTTTTACTCAAAATGTATTCAGTGTAGAAAATGCGAAGCACTGGGGGCCGGGCCCACTCTGTCACCCGAGCTGGAGTGCAATGGTGTGATCTCAGCTCACGGCAACCTCTGTCTCCCAGGCTAAAACAATCCTCCCGCCTCAGCCTCCTGAGTAGCTGGGACCATGGTCGCGTGCCAGCGTGCCAGCATGCCCAGCTAATTTTTGTCTATTTTGTAGAGATGGGGTTTCACTATGTTGTCCAGGCTAGTCTTGAACTCCAAGGCTCAAGCCTTCCGCCTGCCTCAGCCTCCCAAAGTGCTGGGATTACAGGCATGAGAAAATTTATATCTTTCAGGCCACTGCATTATGGGAGTTTTTCGTTAGCCTACTTGACCAAATACAATAAACAAACAGGAGTTAATTAAGCGAAAAAAAGGAAGAGAAGGCAGACTCCAAAGTGCCCAGTCCAGGGAGAACGTGGCATATTCAGGGAACTGGGAATGGTTCAAGATGCTTGACACTCTGGCTGCGGGAGGGAGAGTGGTGACTTAGTCAGCTCAGGCTGCTATAACAAAACACCATAGACCGGGGAACTTAAACAACAGACATTTATTTCTCTCTCTCTCTTTTTTTTTTTTTTTTGAGACAAAGTCTTGCTCTCCTGCCCAGGCTGGAGTGCAGTGGCGTGATCTTGGCTCACTGCAACTTCCACCTCCCAGGTTCAAGTGATTCTCTTGCCTCAGCCTCCCAAGTAGTTTGGACCACAGGCACCTGCCACCACACCTGGCCAATTTTTGTATTTTTAGTAGAGATGGGGTTTCGCCATGTTGGCCAGGGTGGTCTCAAACTCCTGATTTCAGGTGATCCACCCACCTCGGCCTCCCAAAGTGCTGGGATTACAGGCGTAAGCCACGGTGCCCAGTCCAAACACTTATTTCTCACAGTTCTGGAAGTCCAAGATCAAGGTGCAGACAGATTTTGTTCTTGATGAGGGCCTTCTTCCTGGCTTGCAGATGGCTGCCTTCCTGCTATGTTCTCACATGGTGGAGAGAGGGATGGAGGGTGAAGGGAGGGAGGGGAGGGGAGGGAGGGGTCTGTTGTCTCTTCTTCTTTTTATGAGGGCACTAATCTCATCTTGAGGATCCCCACCCCCACTCCAAATACCATTACATTGTGATTTAGGACTTGGAACACATGAATTTTGGGAGGACACAGACATTCAGTCCATAACATGTGGGCCATGTCACCAAGAACCTTGGATGCCAGGCATGGAGCCTGGATATCATCCACTGGACTGTGGGAAATCAAGTCGGGCACTGACATCCTTTTTGTTTTGCCAGCTTGGGTTGCAACCTGTGCTAAGGTTTGCTATGGTTTACATATTTGTCTCCTCCAAACCTCATGTTGAAATTTGATCCCTATTTTGGAGATGGTACCTAATGGGAAGTGCTTGGATCATGGGGTTTGGTGCCATTCTTGAGGTAGTGAGTTCTCGGTCTCATGAGATTGCACTTGGGGAGGGGGGTGTGTTATGAAGCCAGGATGCCCTTCAGGTTTAGTTTCTCTTCTTAAACGTCTGCTTCCGCTTTGACCTTCTCTGCCACATTTTAACTCAGCACAGAAGCACTCTCCAGAAGCCAAGCAGATGCCGACACCATGTCTCTTGTACAACCTGCAGAAGTGGAAGCTGAATAAACCTACTTCTTTAGAAATTATTCTGCTTTGGGTATTCCCTACACAAAATGGACTAAGACAAGCTGCAGATTTTAAAATGTATGAAATGTTTCATAAGACTGGCTAATAATACAATGAGCGCTCATGCACCCACCACCTAGCTTGAAAAACACATTGCAGATAAAGTCTCCAGCATTTCTTTCCTGATCCCATCTTCAGCTGAGTTTTTTTTTTTTAATTTTTTTTTATTTAGACAAAGTCTCGCTCTGTCACTAGGCCAGAGTGCAGGGGCACTATCTCAGCTCACTGCAACCTCTGCCTCCCGGGTTCAAGCGATTCTCCTGCCTCAGCCTCCCAAGTAACTGGGACTACAGGCGCATGCCACCACGCCCAGCTAATTTTCATATTTTTAGTAGAGATAGGGTTTCATCATGTTGGCCAGGATGGTTTCGATCTCCTGACCTCGTGATCCGCCCACCTTGGCCTCCCAAAGTGCTGCGATTATAGGTGTGAGCCACTGCGCCTGGCCACTTCTGCTGAGTTTTTAACTTTATTTTGTTTTGCTCTGTTTTGTTTGTTTGTTTCTTTTTTCCTTTCTTTTCTTTCTTTTTTTTTTGAGATGGAGTGTCGCTCTGTCGCTCTGTCTCCCAGGCTGGAGTGCAGTGACGCAATTTCAGCTCACTGCAACCTCCGACTCCTGGGTTCAAATGATTTTCCTGCCTCAGCCTCCCAAGTAGCTGGGACTACAGGTGCCAGCCACCATGCCCAGCTAATTTTTGTATTTTCAGTAGAGACGGGGTTTTGCCAAGTTGGCCAGGCTGGTCTCGAACTCCTGACCTCAGGTGATCCACCCGCCTTGGTCTCCCAAAGTGCTGGGGTTACAGGCATGAGCCACCACGCCCAGCCTGTTTGTTTGTTTCTTAAGGGCACTTGGAAAGGGCAAAGTGGAAACAGGACATACATCATTGAACCTCTCATATGTCCTCAATATTTTGCCAGGTACTGTGATGTATACATATGGAAGAAGCAGCCACAGCCAGGTAGAAAACAACAACAACAACAACAACAACAAAACCCCAACCTTTGTGCTTTCCCAGAATGCATTGACTCTTTCCTGAGACCAGCTGGGGCATGCTCAGAGGGGCACCATGTTTCTGGATGTGAGGTGATGGAATATTTGCACTGAGTCTCTAGCCATTACCCACTTCTGCTGACTCATGTGCGGATAAATGGCACAGTCCAAATAAATTTGAAATATGTGTCTGGAAGTTTTAAAGTTCTGAGAAGGACATTGAAGGATTTGGGGCCGTTCCATCTTTTCATCTGGCTGATGGCTGCGACTTTGGGGAGAAGAGAAAAGATGTTGGGAGTGAGCAGCTGGTGAGCAAAAGATGTTGATGGTGTTGGTGAGGATTTCATTTCCTGGGCCAGAGCCCAAGATGCTAGAGTACAAGGCTACTGGCAAAACACAGAGAGTACCGCAAAGTCGGGGAAGAATGTGCTGGGCAGATTACCCAATGACATCAAAGGACACTTAAAAGATTTCTGTGGGCTACATAGTAAACAGCTGTTGTTTTTGTCTGCTCAGCATTCTTTTGCCATCTTCTTTTAATAACCTCTTTATTTCTGAAGGAAAACCAGGCATTTTCATAGTCTATGCAGCTGAAGAGGGTCGACACATCCTTTGGCTTCATGGGTGAATATGCAACTTGGTAAGAGTCTATCAAAATCTCAGTGATTTATTCAGAGGTGGACACGTGACTCAGCCTGGACCAATGAGAGTTTTCTCTGGGACTTTGCTCAAATGATTAGGAATGAGATATGCTTTCTTAGAGTTGTTACGATGATAGCTAGCGTGAGACCGAGCTCGAATGAGACTGAGAATGAAATGAATACAGCAGAAAGCTGAGTCTAATGATGGAGAGACAGAAATTCCTGAAAACATTAGGGCACTTGGATTTAGCCATGTCTGAAGCTAACCGTACCTCTTGGACTTTTTAGTTATGTGAATCTATACCTTTAAATTCTCTCTCTCCCATCAATCTGGTTTAATGTAATTTCAGTTTGGTTACTGTAATGTACAATGATAGTTGAGAAAATGTAAAACAGTCTTTGTGATTAGAAAGAAACAGGATGAGTCAGGCGCGGTGGCTTATGCCCGTAATCTCAGCACTTTGGGAGGCCGAGTCGGGTGGATCACTTGAGGTCAGGAGTTCGAGACCAGCCTGGCCAACATGGTGAAACCCCATCTCCACTAAAAATACAAAAAATTAGCTAGGTGTGGTGGTGGGTGCCTGTAGGTCCCAGCTACTCGGGAGGCTGAGGCAGGAGAATTGCTTGAACCGGGGAGGCAGAGGTTGCAGTGAGCCCAGATCATGCTACTACATTCCAGCCTTGGCAACAAGAGCAAAACTCTGTGAAAGAAAGAAAGAGAAAGAAGAAAGAAAGGAAGAAAGAAAGGAAGGAAGGAAGAAGGAAAGAAAGAAAGAAAGAGGAAAAGAAAAAAAAGAAAAGAAAGATACAGTGCCCAGTTATTCTTGGGCAAAAATAAAGGCAACAGGATGGGAACTTTATTTATGGTCTTACACATCCATCTCCCAGTGCAAAGGGTGTGGGGGAAATGGATAAGGTAAGATGTTCATACTACTGAAAGAAGAAGAAAGCTATAATTTCATTAGCATCATTGCTACTTAGGAGGGGAATCATAACTGGAAAGTGACAATGGAAGGATGTATTTTATTTGAAAGATGCAAGTCCAATAGAAAGGGAATATTGTATAGCATTATCTGTGAGGAAGTTACTAAGTGGTCTGCCTGTCAGTATGGAAAGCTTTGGGGTCAGGAATAGGGAGGACAACCACAGAAACAAGACTCCACCCAACATGGGGCCAGAGGAAGCCTGGAGAAGATGCTTTCCTAACACACATCCCCAAGCCATGAAAGAGTTTCATTAGGAATTCCAGTTATGCAGACATAAGCTGGAATTCTTCTTTTGCTAAAGTTTAGAACATCTGATAAATTATTATCTTACTTTGCTAACAGTTTCTCAGAACACGGAAGTAGCAATGGAGTAAGCTGTTCTGTTTTCCTTTCTTTTAAAAACTATATTTTTCCCTTGAACATAAAAGAAAGACATACTTCTGGTGGAAGATTCGATAATACAGTGGTGACACTCATACATCTATTCCTCAAAGATAAGCAATTGGATTTGTACTGTGTGCCGGATGTTGGCTAAGTATTTAATAAATAGGCTCATTTAATCTCTACAGCATTAAGAGGTGCATTCTTGTATGATCCTTAGTTTGTGGATAAGAAGACTGAGGTTTAGTAAAGCTAAAAAAAAATTCTCTGAGATCACAGAGCCAAGTTGGTGCTAGAGCCAGGATTTGAACTAAGCCATCTGGGCTCTTAACCACTATACTACATTCTGTATTTGTGCTTCCACCTACATAAATTCCTTGTTATAGTGTATATTTATAATTTTGTAGCCTGTTTTTCCCTTTCACTTAATTTTATAATATAGGCAATTTCCCATTTTGTCAAAAACTCTTAAATTTTAAAAATTAAAATATTTATACTTATGTAAAGTAGACTACTCTAAGGGATGCCTATGGACCTATCACAGCTTCAACAATTACCAAACAGTCTTGTTTCCTCTATCCACTCCTCACTCTATTATCTAAAGCAAATTGCAGACATTGTACCATTTTATCTGTAAATATATCAATATGTAATTTTAGTTATTCCTTAATATTCTGAGGTATCCAATCTGTGCTCGAACTTTCCAGATGTAAACATTATTGTAAATGTTATTCTAAATTTGGTTCTGAGGATACTTACGGAAGAATTGGTGGGTGATGTGGAAGTATTAGAAGCTTTGAGCCAAAGTGACCCTGTCACTTTGGAGTTTGCAGTAGCAAACAAACAGAAAACGCTGCACTGCACAATGAGGAAACCAGATTTCCAGAAGTTCAGTAGAAAGAAAGATGTACAATTCCACCTAGAACTGTATTGTTCCACGTAGTGGCACCAGTCATATGTCACTATTTACATCAAAACTAATGAAAATTAAATAACATTTAAAATTCAGTCCCTAAATAACCACATGTGGCTTGTGGCTATCATATTAGATAGTGGAGATATAAGATATTTTATTTTATTTTATTCTGTCTTTTTTCTTTTTTTGAGACAGGGTCTCGTTCTGTCGCCCACGCTGGAGTGCAGTGGCATGATCATGGTTCAATGTAGCCTCGACTTCCTGGGGCTCAAGCAATCCTCCCACCTCAGCCTCCTGAGTATATGGGACTACACAGGCATGCACCACCATGCCTGGCTAATTTTGTTTATTTTTTATAGAGATGAGATCTCACTGTGTTGCCCAGGCTGGCCCCAAACTCCTGGACTCAAGTAATTCTCCTGCTTCTGCCTCCCAAAGTGCTAGGATTACAGGCATGAGCCACCATGCCTGGCTGATATAAGATATTTTCACCATCACAAAAAGTTCCATTGAATGTAGCTGGTCTAGACTTTAAGAAGGAATAGTATTTGCAAGAGGCAGGAGATTCCTACACAAAAAATGTCTGCATTTGTGATTGTCAAAGGGCTTGAGGAGTGCAGCTGCCACTCTGATCACAGAGGCCTCTGATCAGCTTAGCATTCAAGAGGAGGTGGAGCACACAGCTCAAGTCTCATTGCTTATTTATTTATTTAACTGCTTTAATTGAACAGGCCCCACTTAGCCATGTGCCAACAAGAAGTTTGCGTTATTTTTGTAACTCACTTCCTTTTTGCTAAAAAATCCCTTTTCACACTCAGCAGCGGAAAAACTGAAGTTAGCCCAGTCTTATAAATACCAGCCCTGTCCAGTCATTTCCAGTTTAAAATAGTTTCATTTCGAGTAAACATTTCACGCCGTTCAGGTATTTTTATCCTCCACCACTGTCTGGTTCAGAACCCCACTCCGAGCTTGGGCATCAGAGGAGAGCTTTGTCCTTTGCTGTCTCTTCTCTTCCTCCTTGCAGCCCCTCAATAGCTGCTCCAAGTGTCCCCTAGTGGGAAGTGGAGAAGGGAGACCTCTCCTTTCTTGGCCAGGCCACGTTTCTCTATCTGACTGGGTCCTCAGTGTTATTTGGTTGCTTGATTGGCTCTACCTAGGTGATGTCCCAGGTAGGATTCTGCTGTGATGTCATGCTCAGTATAAGTCGTGGCCCAGGTGATGTGTCTCTGTCCAAGGTCCTAAGCCCAGTGGACCTTCAAAGGCTAGTGGCCACGTTTTCAGAGCCGCAGCCACTCTAACTCCCATCAAGCAATTCCCTTTCTTACTCAACTGGCGTAACTATCCTGAGTTACCCAACTTTACCTAGTTCATGGTGGAAACTTCATAGGCCCCCTTCTATGATGTTCCAGAGGATGCGGTATGATACTTGTTGTGCCCAGATGTGCCACCCCACAACTGCTCACACAAGCTTCATGCTGGGCTCCACTATAGTTGAGTTGACAACTATTAATATGTACTTTAAGAAAATGAAGGAGTATGTGCTCTGGGTTTCAGACTCTCTTCTACCTCATAGGCACTTCCCTTGGAGTTCTCCAATTTTGAGGGACAGGTCAAGGGTCCCCGTAGCACATGATTGACGATATAATTACTTCAGAAGGAATCTTGCTCCCTCTCAAAGATGAGCCCTTATCCCTTCTTGTCCTCTCTTCTTTTTCCTTATCTCTTCCTGGTGCTAAAAGCAACTAACCCAGTTTAGATGTGTATTTTGGTATCTATTTTTGAAAGGCCAAATTACTCCAAGACGTAGCCACTTAAAACAACTTTTATTATCTCTCACAGATTCTGAGGATCTGGAATTTGGGTGTGGCCAACCCGAGTGGTTCTAGCTCAGGTCTCTTATGTGGTCACAGTCAGGATCTCAGCTGGGACTGCATTATCTGAAGGCTTGACTGAGGCTGGAGAATCCACTTCCAAGATGGCTCACTGACATGGCGGTTGGCGGGAGGCTCCATTCCTTACCACATGGACATTTCCCTAGGGCTGTTCACAACGTGGTAGCTGGCTTCCCCCAGAGCGACTGATCTGACAGGGAGAGGACAATAAAAATGGAAGTCAGAGTGGGTTTAGTGCGGGGTTGACTGTATTTTTTAATCTAGTTCTGGAGAAAAGATGCTATTTTTTACAGTTTTTTTGATTTTGGCTTCCTTCTAACATTTCCTTTTATCCTTGAATTTTTACTAAATAATTTCCTCCTGATTTAAAATTTTTTTTCTCTTCTGGGAATTTGAAATCTTGGTACTTACTATTACATTAATTTTTCCAAAGAGTTGAAATCATTTTAATGCCAGAACATGGTAAATTTGCAGCCATTTCAAGCAGCTGGTGGTCTTTTTTATAACATCATTAATGGGTACTATTAAATATTCTGAGAGGTGAATGTAAAATATAAAAGGTATAAGTTTTTTTTTTTAAATAAAACAATAAGCCTTCAAAGAGAAAACAAACAAAAACAAAAAAAAACCCTAGTCTCATAAGTGACATACCATCACTTCTGCCTTGCTGGGCTGGTCTCACCGACCATCTGGATGCAACATGGAAGGGGTTACACAGGGGGATGGGGGATGGATAACAGGAGGTGGGGATCCTTGAGGGCCATGGAGGCTGGCTACCACAAGGAGGTTCATAGATTGTGGGAATCTAACCTGGGAGTAGAGATCCTTTTTAGCTTTGTTGTTTAGAATTTAGCCAAGCTGTTTTCAGTGAGCATGAGCTTTTCCAGGGAAGACCCAGAAAGGGTCTGAGTCTTTGCTCTTGTATTTATAAAAGCACATTTTCTTTTTACTATCACACAAGTCATATGTATGAATTGTAGAAAAAGAAAATAATAGAGAAAAGTAAAAAGCAAAAGGAAGTAATCCGTGTAGTCCACCATTCAAAAGTAAGCTCTGACAACATTTTGGTGTATATTTTTACAGAATTCTCTATGTTCATTCATAAATGCTAATTGCAATTATTTATTTATTTTTATTTTTATAGAGATGAAGTCTTGTTATGTTGCCCGGGCTGGACTCAAACTCCGAGGGCCAAGTGATCCTCCCAACTCAGCCTCTTGATTGCTGGGACTATAAAAATTTTCCACCACACCTGGCATTAACAACTATTTATTGAACATCTCTTATGTGTCAGTAATGCTACTTCCAAGAACTTACTTAAGGAAATATTCAAGGCCATGGGAAAACGTCTACAACCACTTTATCCCAATGTGTTTACTCAATAACCTTGATGTCATTTTATCTTTGTTTGTAGTTCAGCCTTAAAACTATTTTTCTTTATGGTTCCTGGCTCACAAAATTTTTATCTAAATCTAATATTACATAAATTAATTTTAAGAAGTAGGAATTTAAAATTTTTTTCCTTGCAGACAGAAAATGTATAATTATGGCTATTCTCTTCTATAGCTACACTTTTCATCACTGTTTTTTCTGTTTGTTTCTTTTCTTTGAATATTAGAAGAATTTTTCAAGTAGGGCTCCTATGCATGAATCTTTATCTTTTTTTTGTTTTGTTTTTTGTTTTTGAGATGGAGTCTTGCTCTGTCACCCAGGCTGGAGTGCAATGGTGCAATCTCGGCTTGCTGCAGCCTCTGCCTCCCGGGTTCCAGCGATTCTCCTGCCTCAGCCTCCTAGGTAGCTGGGATTACAGGCGCACGCCACCACGTCCGGCTCATTTTTGTATTTTTTAGTAGAGATGGGGTTTCACCATGTTGGCCAGGCTGGTCTTGAACTCTTGACCTCAGGTGATCCGCCTGCCTTGGCCCCCAAAAATGTTGGGATTACAGGTGTGAGCCACCGTGCCCGGCCGAATCTTTATCTTTAAAAAACTTTGCCAGGTGCAGTGGCTCATGTCCATAGTCCCAGCACTTTGAAAGGCCAAGGTGGGCAGACTGCTCGAGCTCAGGAGTTGGAGACCAGCCTGGGCAACATGGTGAAATCCTGTGTACACACACACACACACACACACACACACACACACACATACACGCACACAAGCTGAGTTTGGTGCTCCATGCCTGTAATCCCAGCTATTTGGGAGGCTGAAGTGGGAGGATCGCTTGAGCCCAGGGGGTTGAGGCTGCAGTGAGCCATGATGGTACCACTGCACTCCAGCGTGGGTAACAGAGTGAGAACCTGTCTCAAAAAAAATTTTTTTAAATGCTTTTCTCAAGGTTTAATTAAATAATTAAAATACACAAAATAATATTTATAACATATGTATAAGGAATAAGCTACCATTATCAGCTTAAAAAATCAAACACTTCCAGCATCTTAGAAGCCTTCTCTTCCTTTCTGGTGATTACTATCCTGAGTTTTGTGCTTATCATCCTCTTGCATTTCTTGATATATATGAACACACATATGGCCTGTGTATCCTTATAAAATACCTTGTTTGTTTGTTTGTTTATTGAGATGGAGTCTTTCTGTGCACCCAGGCTGGAGTGCAGTGGTGCAGTCTCAGCTCACTACAACCTCCGCCTCCCGGGTTCAGGTGATTCTCTTGCCTCAGCTCCCAAGTAGCTGGGATTACAGATGCCTGCCACCACACCCAGCTAATTTTTGTATTTTTAGTAGAGACAGATTTTCACCACGTTGGCCAGGCTGGTCCCGAACTCCTGACCTCAGGTGATCTACCTGCCTCTGCCTCCCAAAGTGCTGGGATTACAGGTGTGAGCCACCACGCCTGGCCTTTTCTTTTGGATATATGCACAGTAGTGGGATTGCTGGATTATATGGTAGTTCCATTTTTAGCTTTTTGAGAAAGCTCCTTACTGTTTTCCGTAATAGCTGTACTAATTTACATTCCCACCAACAGTGCATAAACGTTCCCTTTTCTCTATCTCCTCATCAGCATTTGTTATTTTTTGTCTTTTTCATAATAGCCATCCTAACTAGAGCGATATATGATCTTACTGTGGTTTTGACTTGCATTTCCCTGATGATTAGTGATGTTTAGTTATGCAAAGTTTTCCCTTCTGTAAATAACATCAATTTGTATATGCTCTCCTGTGAATTGCCCCCCACCCCAATTATGTTTGTGAGAGTCATCCTTATTGATGGGCATGGGTGCAGTTAATTCCTTTTTGTTTTCTTTTGAGATGGAGTCTCGCCCTATTGTCCAAGCTGGAGTGCAATGGCGCGATCTCGGCTCACTGCAACCTCCGTCTCCTGGGTTCAAGTGATTCTCCTGCCTCAGCTCCTGAGTACCTGGGATTACAGGCATGCACCAACACGCCCGGCTAATTTTTTTTTTTTTTTGTATTTTTAGTAGAGATGGGGTTTCACCATGTTGGTCAGGCTGGTCTCAAACTCCTGACCTCGTGATCCACCTGCCTCGGCCTCCCAAAGTGCTGGGATTACAGGGGTGAACCACCACGCCCCGCCAGTTAATTCCTTTTTACTGTGGTATAATATTTCATTGTATAAATGCACCACATTGTGTCAGTTCTGTCCATGGATATTAAGACATTTCTGAGTTCCAGCAATTACGAACAATACTTCTGTAAACATTCTAGAAGATGTTATCTGGTGCACACATGCAAAGATTTCTCTAGAGCAGTCATTGCCAAATTGGCTGCACATTGGAATGATGTGAGGATCTTCAAAAACTATTGACAGGTGGTTCACACCCCCAGGACATTCTGATTTAATTGGTTCAGAGTCTAACTTTGGTGTTTGGATTTTATTTGATTTTTTTCAAACACATTTATTTTTTTCAGAGACAGAGTCTTGCTATGTTGCCCAGGCTGGTCTCAAACTTCTGGACTCAAGTGATCCTCCTGCCTTGGCCTCCCAAATTGTTAGGATTACAGGCATGATCCACTGCACCGGGCCAAGTCTGGATTTTAAAAAGCATGGGATTGGCCAGGCGCAGTGGCTCACGCCTGTAAACCCAGCACTTTGGGAGACTGAGGAGGGTGGATCACCTGAGGTCAGGAGTTCAAGACCAGTCTGACCAACATGGAGAAACCCCATCTCTACTAAAAATACAAAATTAGCCAGGCGTGATGGTGCATGCCTGTAATCCCAACTACTCAGGAGGCTGAGGCAGGAGAATTGATTGAACCTGGGAGGTGGAGGTTTCAGTGAGCCGAGATCGTGCCATTGCACTCCAGCCTGGGCAACAAGAACGAAACTCTGCCTCAAACAAAAACAAAAACAAAAACAAATGAAAACCATCAAAAAGTGGGCAAAGGATATGAACAGACATTTCTCAAAAGACGACACTTATGCGGCCAAGAGACATATGAAAAAAAGCTCATCATCACTGGTCATTAGAGAAATGCAAATCAAAACCACAATGAGATACCATCTCATGTCAGTTAGAATGGCGATCATTAAAAAGTCAGGAAACAACAGATGCTGGAGAGGATGTGGAGAAATAGGAACGCTTTTACACCATTGGTAGGAGTGTAAATTAGTTCAGCCATTGTGGAAGACAGTGTGGCAATTCCTCAAGGATCTGGAACCAGAAATACCATTTGACCCAGCAATCCCATTACTGGGTATATACCCAAAGGATTATAAATCATTCTACTAAAAAGACACATGCACACGTATATACACATGCACATGAAATATAAAGACACATGCACCCAAAGGATTATAAATCATTCTACTATAAAGACACATGCATGCATACGTTTATTGCAGCACTGTTCACAATAGCAAAGACTTGGAACCAACCTGAATGCCCATCAGTGATAGACTGGATAAAGAAAATGTGGCACATATACACCATGGAATACTATGCAGCCATAAAAAAGGATGAATCCATGTCCTTTGCAGGGATGTGGATGAAGCTGGAAACCATCATTCTCAGCAAACTAACACAGGAACAGAAAACCAAACACTGCATGTTCTCACTCATAAGTGAGAGTTGAACAATGAGAACATATGGACACAGGGAGGGGAACATCACACACTGGGGCCTATTGAGGGATGGGGAGCTAGGGGAGGGATAGCAGTAAGAGAAATACCTAATGTAGATGACGGGTTGATGGATGCAGCAAACCACCATGGCACTTGTATACCTATGTAACAAACCTGCACGCTCTGCACATGTATTCCAGAACTTTAAGTATAACAATAAAAAAAAAAGAAAGAAAAAAAGCATGGGAATCTGGCCACACGCATTGGCTCATGCCTGTAATCCCAGCACTTTGGGAGGCCAAGGCGAGGCAGGCAGATCACCTGAGGTCAGGAGTTCAAAACCAGCCTGGTCAACATGGTGAAACACTGTCTCTACAAAAATACAAAAATTAGCCAGCCATGATGGCTGGTTCCTGTAATCCCAGCTACTCGGGAGGCTGAGGTAGGAGAATCACTTGAACCCGGGAGGCGGAGGTTGCAGTGAACCGAGATCATGCCATTGCACTCCAGCCTGGGAGACAGAGCAAGACTGTCTCGGGGGGAGGAAAAAAAACAACCAACCATCATGGGATGCTAACATTCAACAATATTTGGACCCACTGCCCTAGGGTGTCTGTCTGGGAGTGGAATTGCGTGGCCATAGGGTATGTGCATTTTCAGTTGTAGTGGATATTGCCAAATTGTTTCCCACAACAAATGTGCAAGAGTTCCAGCTGTCTCAGGTCCTCACCAATATAAGGTATTGTCTGATCGTATTTTTTTTTGGCAGCATCAATTCTACCCTTTATAAGGGAATTACGAATTTTAATCTGCTTTTGTTTTTAGTTTCCTTATAACCCTTCTTTATTACCCTTTTAATGCTACTTTCATTTATCTAAGCCTGCCGCTTTTTCATCTGAGTTTGTTTTCTCCTAATGATTTTATGTTTCAGAAAGGCCATGTCTTTTGGTGCCCTATGCAAAAAAGTTTCCTGACATGTTCTTATTGATCTGACAATGGATGGTTTCCAGTGCTTTGCTCTTTCTCTGCGTCCCAATCACGCATCTTTTTCTTTCTGTATTTTTTTATAGATCTCATGATGGTTTTGTTCTCTTAATTCACTCATGCACAAAATATGATCTGATATTTATCAACAGGTAGAAGGCAAATTGCCTGTGAATAGTCCTGTGCCTTCTTAGTCTACAGCTGAAGTGAAGTTTGACAAGCACAGATCGTGGTCTACCTCCTTCATTAAAACAGGTTCTCCTTTCCTTTTCGATCCGCCATCTGCAGTGGAGCCGCCACCAAAATGCAGATTTTCGTGAAAACCCTTACGGGGAAGACAACCACCCTCAAGGTTGAACCGTTGGATACGATAGAAAATGTAAAGGCCGAGATCCAGGATAAGGAAGGAATTCCTCCTGATCAGCAAAGACCGATCTTTGCTGGCAAGCAACTGGAAGATGGATGTACTTTGTCTGGCTACAATATTCAAAAAGAGTCTACTCTTCATTTTGTGTTGAGACTGCGTGGTGGTGCTAAGTAAAGGAAGAAGAAGTCTTACACCACTCCCAAGAAGAATAAGCACAAGAGAAAGAAGGTTAAGCTGGCTGTCCTGAAATATCATAAGGTGGTTGAGAATGGAAAAATTAGTTGCCTTCGTCGTGGGTGCCCTTCTGATGAATGTGGTGTTGGAGTGTTTACAGCAAGCCACTTTGACGGACATTATTGTGGCAAATGTTGTCTGACTTACTGCGTCAACAAACCAGAAGACAAGTAATTGTATGAGTTAATAAAAGACATGAACTAAAAAAACAAAAAAAACAAAAATCAGGCTCACCTGGGATTCTATTGCTCCATGATGTAGCATCTTCTTGCAGCCACCAGTTAAGATCATAGGCTTTGGGGGAAGGGTCAGATTTAACTGACTCAGCACCACGTCTGCCTGCATTAATAGTGGGGTGGGAGTAAGTTAAAGAATCAGGGGTGTTTTCTGAAAAACAGAGATGATAATAGGGCCTCAGGATTAACTGCACAGAAAGGGCTTAGCGTAATATCTGGCAGATGGCAAACATTTAATAAGTGGTAGCTGTCATCATTATTATTTTATTATTAGTATATTATTAACATATTGTATGTTTGTGTATGTATTATTGACACATAGTATTATTACTGTTCACCCCACTGCATTGTAAGCTACAATGAAAGTAGGGGTTCTTCTCTATTTTGTTCGTTTCTTTATCCTCAGCAATTAGAACAGTGCATGACACATGGTAGACATTCAAGAAATATTTGTTGAATGAAGAAAGTTTTGAGAATTTGGAGAGGTTATAGTAGGAATTGCTAACCAATTCAAAATGTGCCATTTTGAATCAGAAGTTGGCAGTGTTATTTATAATAGTGACCCATTTGAATCAACCTGCATGTCAAATGTCAGGGATTAGCTGAATAAATCACAGTACTTCATAAGCTGGAAGCTATGTCCCCATTGCAAACCATCTTGTGGAATACATTTTGACAGAGGAAAATATTTACTTATACAGTTGGAATTTTAAAAGGGAGGAGTTATAAAACAATATGTATAGTATCATCCCAAATATATAAAAAAGTATGTATATGTATAAAAAAACCTGGAAGTAGTATAACAAAATATTCATAACGATTGTCTCTGGTGGTGAGGTTAAAGATGATTTTAAATTTGCTTCTTTGAGCCTTCTTTTATTTTCCAAATATGTTTGTAGTAAGCATATATTATTCTTGAAATAAGAAAAAATAACATATATATTTTAACAGACATGTACTAAAGATGCATTAAGTGGCATAAATCCCAGGGATGCAAAACAACAGTGCAAATCTAGAAGAGAAAGGAAAGACTCAAGGATGGTTTAGGTTTCAAGGGAAGTTTTAAAAGACAACAAAACGAGTCCTGAATCAGCCAGCATTCTTAGTTGCACGCAACAGAAACTAACTGGCTGATTTCAGCAGCAAGGGAATCTATTTAGAGAGTACAGGGGTAGCTCACAGAATTGCCAGGAGGGCTGGAGGACCCATGTCAACAGCTACCCAGCCAGAAACAATGCCCCAAATCCCACCACAGAACTGACCCAGCTTCCACCACTGACACTGGGTACAGCAGCAACTCTGCTGTCCTGGGAGCCTGGTCTTGCCCCTGCCACAATCGTCACCAGAGATGTGACTCTACTGAAAGGGTATTCCTCCACTCAGCAGCCTCAGCATCACCTGGAAGAGTCTTAGACATGCGCATTCTCACGCCCCTTCCCTGACCTACTGAATCAGACTCTGGGGTGGGACCTAGCAACCTGCACTTCAACAAGACTTTAAGGTGATTGCAAAGGGCACCCAGGCTGGAAAGGCACTGCTTCATAATCACTGATGATTCTTTGCATCATCAGTTATCACTTTGCATCATTCACAGTTCAAGAGGACGCTGGACACGGTGGCTCATGCCTGTAATCCCAGCACTTTGGGAAGCCAAGGGGGGTGGCTCACTTGAGGTCAGGAGTTCAAGACCAGCCTGACCAACACGGTGAAGCCCTGTCTCTACTAAAAATACAAAAATTAGTCAGGTGTTGTGGTGGGTGCCTATAATCCCAGCTACTAGGGAGGCTGAGGCAGAAGGATTGTTTGAACCCAGGAGCTGGAGGTTGCAGTGAGCTAAGATTGTGCTACTGCACTCCAGCCTGGGCAACAGAGCAAGATTCTATCTCAAAAAACAAACAAACAAACAAAAAACACACATACAAATAGCAAAGAACAAAACAAAACAAAAAACACAAAGTCCAAGAGGAATGTGTCTTGATTGACAGATCCTAAGTCATGTGTCTTACCGCCTTGGGGCAAGAGAGGCTGGGAAAGATTATCAACAGTGAAAAGCTTCCACAGTGAGAGGCAGGCACTGCTTTACCGGGACTTATGGGAATGAGGATTCTCAAGACATACAGATCGAGTTGAGATGCTGATCCACAAAAAGGAATGACTAGTGGGTCATAGGAATGACAATTCCAGGGTATGGAGCAATTAAAGAGGCAAAGGGTTTTGGCCAAATCAATTCAACAACTATTTCCAGACTGATTAAAGAATGAAAAGTACAATGATAACTTTTAAAATGTTTAAGAGAAAACACAGAAGACTATCTTTTTTTTTTTTTTTTTTTGAGACGGAGTTTCGCTCTTGTCGCCCAGGCTGTAGTGCAATGGCACGATCTCGGCTCACTGCAACCTCTGCCTCCCAGGTTCAAGCGATTCTCCTGCCTCAGCCTCTCAAGTAGTTGGGATTATAGATACCTGCCACCACGACCAGCTATTTTTTTTTTTTTTTTGTATTTTTAGTAGAGATGGGGTTTTACCATGTTGGGCAGGTTGGTCTTGAACTCCTGACCTCAGGCGATCTGCCCACCTCAGCCTCCCAAAGTGCTGGGATTACAGGCATGAGCCACGGCGCCTGGTCTAGAAGACTATCTTTTTTACACCAAGGTAGTGAAGGATTTCGTAAATCAGCTTCAAAGAGCATACACTATAAAGGAAAAAACCTGGTAATTTTGATTACCTTAAACATTAAATCTTTATTATGTTAAAAAACACCATAAATAAAGTAAAAAGACAAGCCAAAGGTTGGGAGAATATACTTGTGTCCCTTATAGCTAACAAAAGATTAGTGTCTCGAATATTTATTAAAATTCTATAAATTAATAAGAAGGAGAAAAACAACCCAATACAAAAAGTCTGAAGATGTTGTTTTAGTTATTTGTTGCTGCATACAAAATTACCCCAAAACTTAAGCATCTTTCTCTCTCTTTTTTCTTTTTTGGAGACAAGATCTTGTTCTGTTGCCCAGGCTGGAATGAAGTGGCATGATCAAATCTCACTGCAGCCTTGACCTCCTGGGCTCAAGTGATCCTCCTACCACAGTCTCTCGAGTAGCTGGGACCACAGGTGCATGCAACCACGCCTGGCTAATTTAAAAAGAATTTTTATTTTTTAGAGATGGGATCTCACTATGTTGGCCAGGCTAGTCTTAAACTCCTGAGCTCAAGTGATCCATCTGCCTTGGTCTCCTAAACTGCTTGGGCTATAGGCATGAACCACCGTGCCCAGCCAAAATACAACATCTTTAAACAATTATTTGTTATCTCACAGTAGTTCAGAAATTTGGCAGTACCTTATCTGGGTAGCTCTAGTGTCTCTCAAGAGGTTGTTACCCAAGCTGTCACTGGGTCTGTGAGTCACCTTTATTTGCATTATTCACAGTATTACACTTATCTTAAAATCAATTATTGCTATAGGATAAGGGCAGCTGGGTTGACAAGATCTCCTGTGAAAATTCTAGGAGTCTTAGCCTTTTATAACCTGTTGATGGGAGTTTAAATTGGTTTCTGGAGGGTAATTTGGTATAAATACAATCAAAAGCTTCATAACAAAACACATCTTTTGACCTAGCAAGTCTATCTCTCAGTTATTAAGAAATCATCAGACAAATATATGTAAAAATATGTATAGAATGTTTATCCAATCATTGTTTATAGTAGCAAAAATGAAATAAAGCATGCAAAACCCATAAATAACCCACATGTCTCTCCAGAGGGTGCAAAATATACAACATGCATTGGAATATTATAATTCCAATAGAAAAGACAATATAATAGGCCGGGCGTCGTGGCTCACGCCTGTAATCCCAGCACTTTGGGAGGCTGAGATGGGCGGATCACAAGGTCAGGAGATTGAGACCATCCTGGCTAATATGGTGAAACCCCGTCTCTACTAAAAATTCAAAAAATTAGCCAGGCATGGTGGCAGGCACCTGTAGTCCCAGCTACTCGGGAGGCTGAGGCAGGAGAATGTCATGAACCCGGGAGGTGGAGCTGGCAGTGAGCCGAGATCGCACCACTGCACTCTAGCCTGGGTGACAGAGCGAGAGTCCATCTCAAAAAAAAAAAAAAAAAAAAAAAAGAAAAGACACTATAATAAGCATAGAAAATGGTCTGGAAGGTTTCAAAATAATATGTTCATAGTAAATACCATTGGAGATTGGGTTGTAAGAGTTTTCTATTTGTCTTTTGTTTATTTAGATTTTCTAATTTTCTTTTCTTTTTTTTTTTTTTTTGAGACGGAGTCTCACTCTGTTGCCTAGGCTGGAATGCAGCGGCACAATCTCGGCTCACTGCAACCTCCGCCTCCCGGGTTCAAGCGATTCTCCTGCCTTAGCCTCCTGAGTAGCTGGGATTACAGGTGTGCACCACCACGCCCGGCTAATTTTTGTATTTTTTAGTAGAGACGGGGTTTCGCCATGTTGGTCAGGCTGGCCTCGAACTCCTGACCTCAGGTGATCCACCCGCCTCAGCCTCCCAAAGTGCTGGGATTATGGGTGTAAGCCACCACACTCGTCCCTAGATTTTCTAATTTTCTACAAAGATTATGTGTTGCTTACATGATGAAGCAGCGATGGATTTAGAAAAATGAGTTTTAGTTGATAATACATTTCATCTAATCCAGCAATGTAATAATGTTGATGCTAAAAAGTGATCATTTATGACATTAGGAGACTGGAAGAAGTGATGATCCCATTACACTCTTCATATGCTCCTAATAGGAATCACATTTTAAGGGTTCAGAGGAGAGACCCCAGGATGTTGTTGGATTTGAAAACTATGTTCTACAAGTAACTGTTGAGAAATCATGATGATTTATGTTTTTAAAAGGAGATAATTAAGGAAAAGTACTCTGTCTTCAAATGTCCCAATGGCAGTCTTATGAAGACTATTGACAAAGAGCTGCTCTAGCAAAAAGTCCCAGAATAAACTGCTGGAAATCCCGTGGAGGAAGAGTTCATTATGATATAGGAAACAACTTTCTAACTACTCGGCACTGTTACTATTGCCATTATGAGTTAAATATCTTAGGGTTCTTTGGTTGCAAACAATAGAAATAGACTCCAGTTAACATATTCAGGAAAACAATTATTCAAGGATAATTTGAATTATTCTATAATTTGGAGCAGCTCATAGAGGGGACTTGGGTTTGGAAAATCACAGAAGCAAAAGACGTCTAGGATTCCAGATAGAAGGAACAAGTAAATGGGATGTTTCTGTTGGCAAAAATTAGCCCTACTTCTCTTCAAAAGGTCTTGACATAACTGCACCCAACGTCCAAAGTTAACGGAGTAAGAGTGTGATGAACCTGGCTTGGCCGAGGGAAGGCAGGACTACTTCATTGACAGTCCCTATAAGATTTTGTTTTTAGACGGAGTCTCACTCTGTCGTCCAGGCTGGAGTGGAGTGGTGCGATCTCAGTTCACCGCAACCTCCGCCTCCCAGGTTCAAGCTATTCTCTGGCCTCAGCCTCCCAATTAGCTGGGATTACAGGCACCTGCCACCATGCACAGCTAATTTTTTGTATGTTTAGTAGAGATGGGGTTTCACCGTGTTAGCCAGGCTGGTCTCAAACTCCTGACCTCGTGATCCACCCGCCTCGGCCTCCCAAAGTGCTGGGATTACAGGCATGAGCCACCGTGCCTGGCCCCTTTAAGATCTTATGTAGTGGGGAAGAGATCATTTCAGAGAGAGAGCAAAAGTGAATGAGAGAGCTGCTTCTATAAGATGGAGAATGAATTCTGGAGCCAGAAACAACACATGCCAACACATTGCCACTTCACTCTGCCAGGCCGACCGTTTGCTTCATCACTGAAGGACTTCAGCAGAGGCTGAATGGTCAAGGATTGATAACTCCTTGCCTAGGCTGCTGTGGGGAGATCCCCATGTTAGACTGGTGGGGATTGTGGGGAAGGAGGTGTAGACTAAATGAGTTCTGTGGTTCCTCAGTAACAGTCAGCCCAATATTCCATCTCTGAGTCATACTTAGTGTGTTTTGTGAAAACCAGTGGCAGTTTTCACCCAAGATTAAAGGTGTGCCCCCTAGAACTCCCCAGTGTCCTCTTTAACACCAAATATGGTTCCAGTACCCATGAATTAAACAAACCTTTCATGAACTCATCTATATTTTTATACTCTACCTCTTCTGGGTAATGAGATCCATCAGTTTATGAATCCTAGAGACCATTATCATGCAAATGAGTCATTCTATTTCTTAGTCCCCCCTCCTCCCCCCAATTCTGCTTCTAACCATTCACAGATGTCCGCTGACTGTCTTTGTTTTGGGACTTGGTGATCAAGTTTATGTTTGCCCTGGAAACTTTAAACATTTAAAAACATTATCTTGCTGCTCACTCTCTCCAACTCAGGTTTATTAGGCTGTGGAATGAACTTTCATGGGAAACAGTGAGCAAATGATTATGGAATGGAGTGTTTTCTTTACAAAGGAGAGGTTTTCTTTCCCCTGATTATTGCACCATGTAGTTAGGACAAAACTTGGGTGCAAGGAAACAATCACAGAATAAGGAGTCAAGAGGGAAAAAGAACCAATATTAAACTCCCACTATGTTCTAGGCATTATGCTGGGCCCTGGTGTCGTCAGGATTCCTAGTCACAAGCACAGAAAATGACTGAAGCTGATTAAAGCAGAAAAAATCCTCACCCGTTTTAAGGCTATTGGGGTAGTTCATAGATTTCTCAGGAAGATTGGATAACCAGGTGGAGCAAATAGGCAGGAACAAAATGGTGCTCTACAGTCAGAGAACAGCAAAAATCACGCCACAGAACTGGTTCAGTAAAAGAAAAAAAGATAGCACTAGAAACCAAACTGTGCGCTCAGTCCAGACCTCTCAGGCCTGGACACTGGACACTAAGGCTGGCACCACTGCCACTCTGGCCATGAAACTGCATGTTACTGTCACTGCTAACACCACCTGGTTCTTCTTTCCTTGCTCCAATTCCCCTCTCCACGCTCATTCAAGGCTGAGGAGCATGTACATATGATTGACTGAGTCTAGGTGACCTGGCCATGCCTCAGCTTCAAGGGAGGCTGGGAGAGGAGTAGCCAGGGTTTTCCACTTGGAAGAGGGCTCTGTCTCTCTCAGTTGGACAGCCAAAAAAACCACCAAAATTCCACATTAGCACTTGCCATATTTCCCTAATTCAGCAACCCCATAAGTAGGTATTTCCCCTGTTTTATAGATGAGTAAATTAAGGTTTGGTGGGCTGAGTAGTTGGATTAGATCATACAGTGAGTAAGTGACTGAACAATGGCTAAAACTGGTCTCCTTCCTTATCATTTCATGATGTCTTGTCTATGCCAGGTTCTATGTTCACCCCTCAACATAAGAACCTATGAGCTAAGCATTATTATACTCATTTCACTAATGAGGAAATGAGAATTTACCCCGGGTTCTCAGCTCATAAGGCATGGAAAACAGGTGGCATAACATGAGTCAGCCCTTTAACCACAGCACTATATTGGCTCTTCAGGAAAGAGGGATGTTGGGTGAAGCCTCTTTCGCAGTCTTTGTCTGGCAGGCCTTGGGGGGCATGCCAAGTGTTTTAGTATGTTCTCACACTGCTAATGAAGACATACTTAAGACTGGGTAATTTGTAAAGGAAAGAGGTTTGATTAACTCACAGTTCCACATGGCTGGGGAGGCCTCATAATCATGGTGGAAGGCAAGGAGGAGCAAAGTCACATCTTACATGGTGGCAGGCAAGAGAGAGCTTGTGCAGGGGAACTCCCACTTATAAAACCATCAGATCTAGGGGCCGGGTGCAGTGGCTTATGCCTGTAATCCCAGCACTTTAGGAGGCCGAGGCAGGCAGATCATGAGGTCAGGAGATCGAGACCATCCTGGCTAACACGGTGAAACCCTGTCTCTACTAAAAATACAGAAAAAATTAGCCGGGTGTGGTGGTGGGTGCCTGTAGTCCCAGCTGCTCAGGAGACTGAGGCAGGAGAATGGTGTGAACCCAGGAGGTGGAGCTTGCAGTGAGCAGAGATCGTGCCACAGCACTCCAGCCTGGGCTGTCTAAAAAAAAAAAAACCATCAGACCTTGTGAGACTTATTCACTACCATGAGAACAGTATGGGGGAAACTGACTCCAAAATTCAATTATCTCCTGCCGGGTCCCTCCCACAACACATGGGAATTATGGGAGCTAAAATTCACGATGAGATTTGGGCGGGGACACAACCAAACCGTATCACCAAGTGACCACCCAGACACCTACCTCAGGCAACAGAACACTAAGCACTTTGACACCCAAGGTTGGAAGCTTTGAGCATTCTCAACTCCTGGCTCTTCCACATCAGATAAGTTGCAAGTTGTTTTTCCCTCTTCGTGCCCACAGCCACATCTCTGGTCTGGGTTTTATTACTTTATGCCAGTGATCTGCACTGTCTTCTCAGTTCATCTCCTTGCCTCCTGTCTTCTCCTTGAGTATAGCCATGGCCAATGGCTTTGTCTTGTCCCAGGACTGTGTGCCTAATGAGACTGGGTGGCGACGGGAGAGTGGTGTCTCCTGGGTGGATGCATCAGAATTTAGTTGTGCCTGGATGTGTTACTGGAATGACCATTTTACAACCATCCAAGAATAAGCCAATAGTAAGTGTCGTGAAAGGAGCATGCGTATTAGAGGGGTTGATTATGCTGTGCCTGCAGCCTGCCTCCCCATCAACTTCCAGTTAGGTGAGACAATATGCGTTCTTATGGTTTGTGATTGAGTTTCTACTATTTGCAGCAGAGAGCATTGCCACTGCTAGTCATTTAGCTGAAATACAAATCCAATCATTTTCCTCCTCTGTGGTTTTGTATTGTCTTTGGAATCAAGCTCACATTCCTTAATACAGTTCACAAAGCTCCCGATGGGCTCATGGTTTACTGGTCAGGCGTGGTTCTCAGTATCTGCTGTCTACCCTTTTCCCCAAGGAACTTCAGGTCGTCATCAGACAATCCTGCTTCCTTTTCCCCATACACACCTGCATATCTATGTTCTTTCTTTCCTAGAACATTCTTTTCCTCCTTCTCCATCTACTATACTTCTACTCATCTTTCAAGTTTAGCTCAACTGACAATCCTTCCACAAATTTTTTCCTAATCCCTCCAGGCAGAATTAAGGAATCTCTTAAGCGTTTCTGAGCACTTTGTGTCTGTGTTATGGTGCTTTCTGCAGCCTCATACACAATCACAGGCCACCTATGTTTCTGCCTCTTTGCTAAAACATGAGCCCCTTAAAGACAACGACTATGTTCCATCCACCTTCTAGCTTAGTGCCTGTGCCTTGTACCGGACAAAATGATCCTGTAAGTACTAATGAAATGTTCATGAATTCGTTCAGATTGCAGGTAACTTAGCATGTGCTTATTAACTGTTATTTATTTTTATTACAAATAAAGCAGTATTATTGTCAGTAATAATGTCTTTAGGATTTTGCAGTTCATGAAGCTCTTTACTATACGCTATCTCAATTAACACAGTATTTATTTTTAAATACTTATTTATGTATTTATTTACTTTGAGACAGGATCCTGCTCTGTTGCCCATTCTGGAGTGCAGTGGCACCATCACGGCTCACTGCAATCTCTGCCTCCCAGGCTCAAGTGATCCTCCCACCTCAGCCTCCCAGGTAGTTGGGACTACAAGTGCATGCCACCATGCCTGGCTAATTTGTTATTTTTGTACAGATGAGGTCTCACTATATTGCCCAGGCTGGTCTCAAAGTCCTAGGCTCAAGCCATTTGCCCACTTTGGCCTCCTACTGGGATTACAGGCATGAGCCGTCATGCCCAGCCCCACAATATCTCTATAACACCAACGTTGTCCCCACTTCCCAGATGAGGAAACTAGGCACCCAGTTAATGTATGTATATTGGTTGGATGCCTATAATTTGCATAATACTGGGCAAGAAGCCAGCTGTGAAGGAAGCTTGCAAAGAAGTAAAAACCAGAGTCTCCCTTCTCACAGTGTTTACAATTTACTTGCGGAGGTAAGAAATCATGCAGAATATTTCCATTAAAAGAGACAAGAGCACTGGAAAATAACAGTGAAGAGATGTTGAAGACAGCAATTTACTACATAATAAAAGAACACAGGCCGGGCTCGGTGGCTCACGCCTGTAATCCCAGCACTTTGGGAGGCTGAGGTGGGCAGATCACTAGGTCAGAAGATCGAGACTATCCTGGCTAACACGGTGAAACCTCGTCTTTACTAAAAATACAAAAAATTAGCCAGGCGTGGTGGCAGGCGCCTGTAGTCCCAGCTACTCGGGAGGCTGAGGCAAGAGAATGGCGTGAACTTGGGAGGCGGAGCTTGCAGTGAGCCAAGATCACGCCACTGCACTCCAGCCTGGGTAACAGAGCGAGACTCTGTCTCAAAAAAAAAAAGAAAACAATGAAAATAAAAATAAAAGAACACAAAACATAAGTACCATAAGAATTAAGATGGAACACTATGGTCTGACAGTGGAGGTCCATGAAGAGTCTTCCAAAAGAGAGCCCAGCTTGGATTTTAAGGATTAGTGGGATTTCACAAAATGAAGAAGTGGGCAAGGCATTCCATGTGAAAAGTGAAGTCTTAACAGGGTGCAACTCCTTCTCTGCTAAGCAAGGAAGAAGATAGGATAGTGAAAGCCCCAAGGAAATGAATGGATATATTTGTGGCATGGATAGATGGATAGATGGATGGATAAATGGATGGATGAGTAGATGGATGGATAGATGGGTGGAAAGACAGGTGGATAGGAGGATGAGTAGATGCGTGGATGGATGAACAGAGGAGTAAATTCACAGCTTGTAGAGGATGGCGCTCATTTTACCAAAATTGTCTCCAAACACAGCAGCATCATGATGAATTGTATTCTCTTTACAGAACAGCTTGGTTTAACTTGTCCAGATGAAAGAAAGGCATTGTAGAAATCCATAAACACTTGTTGAATTAAAACATTTGAATGTGGTCAGAGCTACAGAGAAATGCCTGGGCTTAGGATGCAATCAGGCCAGTGTGGCCTTTCGACATTATGTGTGGGTGTGTTTTCTCACAAACACATGTGAAGAGACACAAACAAAACTTTGTCTGAGGTTTTTATTTTCCTTTTTACTGTGAGATGCCAAACTTCTGTTTTGACTGGATTGTCACTTTCCAACTTTTCATGTGTGGGAGCCCAAAGCCCCATGAGTTGGCATGAATGAGACACTTTGACTCATAATGATGGTGGAGGCAACTGTTCATGTGACTGGGATAAAAGATGTTATTCAGCTGGTCAGGGAAATGATCACACTTGATGGGAAAGTGAACTTTATTCCTCAATCCCATTCTTATATCTCATGAAATTGTATCCTGAGTCAACGGTCTTATGTGATCAAGATGAGATGTGAGTTGAGTTGGTCTTCCTCTAGCTTTTTTTTTTTTTTCCTTTTGAGACAAAGTCTTGCTCTGTCGGCCATGCTGGAGTGCAGTGGCATGATCTCGGCTCACTACAACCTCCACCTCCCAGGTTCAAGCAATTCTCCTGCCTCAGCCTCCTGAGTAGCTGTGATTACAGGTGCCCACCACCACGCCTGGCTAATTTTTGTATTTTTAGTAGAGATGGGGTTTCACCCTGTTGGCCAGGCTGGTCTCGAACTCCTGACCTCAAATGATCCACTTGCCTTGGCCTCCCAAAGTGCTGGGGTTACAGGTGTGAGCCACCATGCCTGGCCTCTAGCTTTTAATTTTTAACAACTAATGAGTCACATTAACATAATACTTCTGCCTTACTCCACAATATAACCCATCATCTGTGTTCCCTGAATTTCTGGCTGTGTTGCAGAGCCTGCAGCCATGCATCTGAACACAGAGGCTTTTCCTACAGTTGGGAGTTTCCAGCCTAGACTTTTTCCCAAGACTGGCCTAATTCTGGTCTAACTCACGATGTTTGGACTCAGCCTAAAATGTGCCAATTTTTAAAAGCTTTTAAAAAATTTCCCAGCCTAAGATGGCTTGCGCAATCTTCAGCTTGATGTCTTGTGGTTCTCTGTGAGGGCTTTTCTGGCAGACACTGTTTGTTACCTACACAACCCATTTCTGACCCGCTTCTTTATCTTGCTACCTCTGCTTGTGGAAGGAGGAAATCCAAGTACAGAATTTCCCAATCTCCCTTGGGCTAGATGTGGTCATGTGACCTGACTCAGGCCAGTGAGAAGAGGAGGTCTACTTGGGGCTTCTGGGAACATGTTTTTTCCTTATGTAGGAGATAAATTGAGATGTTACCTTTCTCTTCTTTTTCCCATCTGGAATGCAGAGGTAATGTCTAAAGGTACAGCAGTCACCCTGTGGCCATGATGCTGCAAGTATGTGGAAGGAAAGCCAAAACACTAAGAATGGAAGAGTAGAAAGGTAAAAAGATGCAGGCTGGGCTGTGCATGATGGCTGATGTCTGTAATTCCAGTACTTTGGGAGACTGAGGGGGAAGATTGCTTGAGTTCAGGAGTTTGAGGCGAGCTGGGCAACATGGTGAGCCCCTGCCTGTACAACAAAATTTTAAAAATTAGCCGGGTATGGTGGTGTGTGCCTTTAGTCTGAGCTACTCAGGAGGCTGAGGCAGGGGGATTGCTTGAGACCAGGAGCTTGAGGCTATAGTGAGCTACTTCAGCCTGGGCAACACAGCAGGACCCTGTCAAAAAAAAAAGAAAAAAAGAAAGAGGAACAAACGAACGAAAGAAAGAAGGGAGGAAGGAAGGAAGGAAGGAAAGGAAGGAAGGAAGGAAAGAGGGAAGAAAGGAAGGAAGGAAGAAAGGAAGAAAGAAAGAAAAGAAAAGAAAGAAAGGAGAAGGAAAGAAAGAAAGAAAGAGAAAGAAAGGCCAGGCACGGTGGCTCACGCCTGTAATCCCAGCACTTTGGGAGGCCGAGGCAGACAGATCACCTGACGTCAGGAGTTCGAGACCAGCCTGACCAACATGGAGAAACCCCTTCTCTACTAAAAATTCTAAATTACCTGGGTGTGGTGGCACATGCCTGTAATCCCAATTACTTGGGAGGCTGAGGCAGGAGACTCACTTGAACCCGGGAGGCAGAGTTTGCTGTGAACCAAGATTGAGCCATTGCACTCCAGCCTGGGTAACAAGAGTGAAACTCTGTCTCAAAAAAAAAGAAAGAAAAAAGAAAAAATGTGCCAAGATGACATAGTTGGGCTGCTCAGGCAAACGGAGACCACTTTCAATAAATGTCCACACGGTTTAAAACTTCGTTGTTGAGTTCTCTGATACTTGCAGCTGAATACATCCTAACTGGTACGGTCTGCCAGTGTTTGGCTGAAGGATGCTGTGAAGAACAAGGTGAGAATATGGATCTGACTTTGGATAGAGCCAAGTATGGGAAACCAGAAATGGGGGAATGGGTTGATGAAAGGATTCATCTTGCCGTATTCCTACTTGAGTTTTCCTTTTTATTTTTTTGAAACAGGCTTTCAGTCCTGTTGCCCAGGCTGGAGTGCAGTGGCGCGATCTCGGCTCACTGCAACCTCTGCCTCCTGGGCTCAAGCAATTCTCCTGCCTCAGCCTCCCAAGTGGCTGGGATTACAGGCACATGTCACTGCACCCAACTAATTTTTGTATTTTTTGTAAAGATGGGGTTTCTCCGTGTTGCCCAGGCTTGTCTCGAACTCCTGGGCTCAAGCGATCCGCTCACCTTGACCTTCCAAAGTGCTGGGATTACAGGTGGGAGCTATCATGCCTGGCCAAGTTTTCTTAATTTCTTCTACCCTCCATATGCCTCTTGGTTTAAGTTTTTTTTGTTTGTTTGTTTGTTTTTGGAGACAAGGTTTTGCTTTGTTGCTCAGGCTGGAGTACACTAGTGCAATCACAGCTCGCTGCAGCCTTGAACTCCTGGGCTCAAGGGATCTTCCCTCCTCAGCCTCTTGGATAGCTGGGACTATATAGGTGTGCACCACCACACATGGCTAATTAATTTTTTTTTTTTTTTTGGGGAGGCAGAGTCCCACTATGTTGCCCAGCCTGGTCTTGAACTCCAGACCTCAAGTGATCTTCCTGCCTCCACTTCCCAAAGTGCTAGGATTACAGATGTGAGCCACCACACCTGGCCTTGGCTTAAGTTTTAATGCATTAACTCTCTTTATAGGAAATTCAAGATATTGTTGTGGCAAAGATCCCACATATGCCTATATCAGTAGTAAGTTAAAAATGATTTACCCCTAGAATAAAGCTCCATAAGGGCATGGATTTTTTGCTGTTTTGTTCAGTTATTTAGCCCCAAATTCCAGAATAGTGCTTAGCACATGGTAGATGGTCATTAAATATTTGTTGAATAAGTGAATTATTGAGACTTTGTCTCAAGACGCCCTTAGTTTGAAAGGCAGAAAGTTTGGCAAATGAATATCTATGATGTTTATAATCTGGCCATATTGCTTTGATTGTGGACTGTACTCTGCTTTGCCTAAAATCCTTTTTAATAATAGTCTTAAGTTTTGTCATGTCAATATATACCTTAAAAATAGTTGAAAAATCACCAGTTTTAGGGAGCAGTTTAGAAAAAAATGACTGTTCCCTTGTGAAATTCCAGCCATGCTTCTGAAAAGAGGAAGTTCTACTGGACCTTGAGATTAGTCCAGGAAAGGGAGAGTCTAATTTAGGGATATTTTGAGGACAGAGTCCTGAATAGCCCATGTGGATAGCTTCCTCTGTTTTATTTTAATTGTACGCTCAGTGTAATGTGCTTAGTCTTTACCTGTCTGGTCTGAAAGTACCCTTCCAGCCTTCCTCAGCCTCCCTCTCTGCACTTCGGTTACATGCCTGAAAAGCCCTTTCCCACTTCTCATCTAACCGTCTCCAAGTCAGCCCTCAATTCCTAGCTTGGCCTTTCCCAGTTCCCCCAGGTGGGGATCGTTGCTGTAATCCTGGAGATCCTACAGTCTCTCATTCCTGCCTCTCTGTAGAAGCTTGTCAGGCTGCCTCACCTGCTGGAATTACGTGTTTCCCATTTCTCCCCTCTAGTACACACTGGATTTGTGGTGAATAATGATGGCCGTAGATCACATTTATAGAAAATTCACCTCATGCCGGACACAGTTCTAGGTGCTTTACATGTATTAACTCATTTACTCTTCCCAATAACCCCAAGGTAGATACTACTGAGAACCCCATTTTACAGAAGAGGATTTAACACATTCTGCAAATATTTATTGAGTGGCTACTATATGCTTGGCACTGTCCCAGCCGGGTACTAGGGATGTAATTTTTTTGTTGTCGGTGTTTTTTTTTTTTTTTTTTTTGAGATAGAGTCTCACTCTGTCACTCAGGGTGGAGTGCAGTGGCATAATCTTGGCTCACTGCAACCTCCACCTCCCGGGTTCAAGCGATTCTCGTGCCTCAGCCTCCCGAGTGGCTGGGATTACAGGTGCCCACCACCACGCCTGGAAAATTTTTGTATTTTTAGTAGACATGGGGTTTCGCCATGTTGGTCAGGCTAGTCTGAAACTCCTGACCTCAGGTGATGCTTGTCTCGAACTCCTAACCTCAGATGATGCTGGTATTACAGGCGTGGGCCACCGCGCCCGGCCTAGGGATGTAACGTTGAACAAGACTGGAAGAAGGATAAAGTCAACAAAGTAAACAAATTGATGAATCGATATTTATAGAAATTGGGCAGGTCTGATACATCAGAAAGGAACTTTTTAGGTCTGAGGAGTGAGAATGGATCCTCCCACAAGGTGCTACTATTAAAATAACCACAGATAAGGGAGGTTGAAGATGAAAGATTCATACCAGGAAACTTCACAAAACCCACCAGGCAGAGATCAATGTTAACCATGAAAGGAAGGACAAAAGCAGGAAGAGGCGAACTGAAAGAGCGACAGGGGGTTGGAGAAGCACAAGTCCAAGGTGCAGGGAGAGAAAAGGGAGGCTCAAGAAAAGCCTTACAACATGGCCATGGCAGAAAGAGGAGCTGATGGTAATGAAAGGGATTCTTACAAGTGCCTGGAAATAGGCTGGCACTGATCTTACAGGCTGAGGCTTAAAAAGGTTTTGTTCTTCTGTCGGATAAGGAGAGCCATTGTGGTCCCCAGGAAATAAGGAGTTCTTGGGTGCGTGTATATGTGTGCGACTGAGTGGGGAGGGGGAATTCCTTGCCCCAAATGCAGAATGATTGTCAGTGTCCACTCTATTCCTTGCACCTGCCTGAGTGGAGGAGCTGCAACTGCCCCCACAGGGACCTGCGTGAGGAAGCCGGGCCTGGGGGTGGGGATCATGGGAGGTAGGCTTGGCCCTGCCTCACGGTAAATGACTACCTGTGAGCCAGCCTAGCACGCAGGATCTGCAGCTGGGCATGGAGCTCCTGCTTTGGGTCCCCAGAGCCAACGTGGTGGAGGTGTGGATGTGACAGGGAGGAAGAAAGAGGACTGACTGCAGCCCCCAATACCTGCCCCAAGAGCCTCTGAGTAGGAGAACGGGTGGCCTCTGGACCACAGCTGCCCTGATGGAGCCCCTGTGACTCCTAAAGCCGTGTAGATCCTAAGGTCTGACCCAGGTAGCCTCTGGAGAGGGACCAGGGACCCTTTGGGAGGGCTGCAGAGAACACCAGCCCAGGATTTTCTGCTTTCCTTGCCATCCCTGCTACTAGTGAGGCAGTACAGTGAAGTGCTCCGGAACCCCATCCCCGGGGGAGAGTCTGGCTCTTTCCCTCTCTACAGTGTGGCTTTGGATAAATTTTAACCCCTGTCTCTGCATCTACAAAATGGGTACAATAGTATCTCCCTTACAGGATTGTAGTGGGGTGAAAAGCTTAGGAAGGTGTGGAGAGCCGAGTAGGCACTCAATAAACATAAATAGTGGTAGTTATGAGTATTATTTTTGCCTCTGGGGATTGTTTGGTACGTGAAGGGCACATGCTCTTTGGAATACACCATTTCCCCTTATCCCTGAGTTTCAGGGACAACCACAATTTTTTGGTACAGGATGAAGTCCAGGAGCAAACCTTGAAGTTCCAGGCCTCTTAGTTGCCACTTCCTTCCTCTTTTGTCCTTCGTGGCAGTAAATAACCCTGGGGTAATAATTGCCAGGAGTTGTGCCTGGAAACAAACAAGCTCACTTTGACAGGGCTCTGCAGAAATTAGAATAGCTGAATGACATTAGTTTAGGTGATCTGGGCGTCTGCTGCCCACCTCCTCCCAGTTTGCTCTTTATTATAGGCAGATATGGTAGTAGTTAGCTGAGCCCCTGACCCCATGACACTCTCGCTGCCTTCTAGATTCTGCTATGCCAGGGCAGCCTCCCCACTCCTCACTTTTTCTCTGCTCATTGCTCATTTGGGCTCTCCAGGGGAGGCAGGGGCGGGGAGATGATTTGCATAACATCTGAAA
The DNA here is from genome assembly GCF_000001405.40 of Homo sapiens. Classification (NCBI taxonomy): domain Eukaryota; kingdom Metazoa; phylum Chordata; class Mammalia; order Primates; family Hominidae; genus Homo; species Homo sapiens. Next base: position 10,276,700 of record NC_000017.11, read on the forward strand.
ATAGAATTTTGGCAGCTTTTGTCAGATGCCAGGGTTCTTGGGAAGGGCATGGATACTGAAGAGGAAAAAACAAAAGGAAGTATTCTGGGAATTCTGTTTGTTCTTGGCACCAGACAGGAATTCTAGTTCACTAAGAAGATTTTTCTCTGCATCCCGAACCCCTTCAGCCCATCCTTCACCTTTCTCTGAACACATTCCTGAACTTTCTGAATGCCTGGGGCTATTTTGAGTCTGAAGCAAGCCCTTATGGGTCCTGGTGGTTCCCTTGGGTTCACCTCAGGAGAGAGAGAATCTTTACAGAGGAGGTGAGCTCAGAGTGTGTCTGAATCTTCCGTGGAGTGTGTTGACAGCCAGAGCCTTCTGGGAACCAGGGCATGAGGGATTCCACTAAACCTTGGCTTGGACGTTCTTTCTCACCTGTATCCTTTGGCCTTGACCTTTTTTTTTTTTTTTTTTTTTTTTTGCGACAGCATCTCACTCTGTCACCCAGGCTGGAGTGCAGTGACAGGATAACGGCTCACAGCAGCTTTGACCTCCCAAGCTCAAGTCAGCCTCTTGAGTAATTGGGACCACAGGTACGCACCACCATGCCTGGATAATTTTTTATTTTTTGTAGAGATGGGGGTCTCGCGGCCGGGCGCAGTGGCTCACGCCTGTAATCCCAGCACTTTGGGAGGCCGAGGTGGGCGGATCACAAGGTCAGGAGATCGAGACCATCCTGGCTAACACAGTGAAACCCCGTCTCTACTTAAAATACAAAAAATTAGCCGGGCGTGGTGGTGGGCGACTTTAGTACCAGCTACTTGGGAGGCTGAGGCAGGAGAATGGCGTGAACCCGGGAGGCGGAGCTTGCAGTGAGCCGAGATCGCGCCACTGCACTCCAGCCTGGGCGACAGAGCGAGACTCCGTCTCAAAAAAAAAAAAAAAAAAAAAAAAAAGACATGGGGGTCTCGCTATGTTGTGCAGGCTGGTCTCAAACTCCTGGACGCAAGTGATCCTCCTGCCTCAGCCTCCCAAAGTACTTGGAAACGGCACCTAGCTGGCCTTGACTTCTGCTACCTAAGGTTATGCTGGGGGAGTCTGACGGAATGCTATTTCTGTGGCTTTGTAGACCACTTCATTTATTCATTTGTTAATTAATTCATTCACTCATTTATTTATTTTACCCTAAAATAATCACATGAAAAACGTTTTGTGTGTATGTGTTTGCTTGTGTGCACAACTGCTTATGGGGAAGGTGTCTACAGCTTTCATGGGGTTGACAAAGGTGTCCCTGACCCCAAAGAGTAAAAAAAAAAACAAAAGCAAACAAAAACAAACAAAGAAACCCCCACCTGTATGGAGGGGTAAGAAGATTGAATTAGCATTTGTTGAGGCCATTCTGTGCCAGGGGCTATACTAAATTTTTGTGTGTTTTTTTGTTTGTTTGTTTTGGAGGGAGCGTAACTTTTTTAAATGAAGTAATACAAAAAAATCACTGTAGGAAATTTGAAAAAATAATGAGAATAATATAGAAAAGATTAATCTGTAATCCAACCACACAAAGAGCTCTTCAGCCATTGTGGATCTGTTATCTTCAAACTGTCTTCCTGTAAAACTGGACACTTCACACTTCTACAACTCCCTGACATGGTGCTTATTCCTAAGTCATAGAAGACTGTGAGGCTGAAGCCACGCCCCTCACACCAGGAGGCACGCAGCCTTAGCTATCAAGGATAGCTTTTAGCCGGTGAAGAATACACTTAGCTACCAGAGTAAGGCAAGTTCTAGGATTGAGGAATACAGGACTGAGGTTGACAAAGGAGCAGGAGGGAGTCTTGAAGGGACTTCTCCAAAAAGGTAATAATTTGGCAGGTCTTGAAGACCCAGCCTGAGTTGTTTAATGGTTATAGTTTCAGTTTTACATGATGAAAAGAGTTCTGGCGATGGATGATGGGTTATTTCAAATAATGAAAGTTCTGGAAATGGAGTTGGTGGACGGGAAAGCGGGAATTACTGAGATACGGTTTGGGTACACGGGGTGCCAATGAGGCAGGAACAGGCACTGCATCTCGTCGAAGCTTGATCCCACCTCGAAACTGACACTATTCTGCCACCATGGAATAGCTGTTAATGTATTTTGGAATTTCTTTTACCAATGTAATTCCCTTCATATATTTATTGCTTCTTCTTCTGGGGATATCAACTTTACATGGTATAAAATTGACTTTGGAATTTGCTCGGGAAGAAATCTGGCTTGCACTCGCTTTTTTTTTTTTTCTTTTCAATTACGTGATTGTTTTTAGCCCCACTTGTAGCTAGCTTTACCACTCTAAATAATACACTTACCCTCTGCTGCGTGTGTTATCCAACTTTAGATGGTATCAATGAACTTTCCCTTCTGGAGGATGAGAAGATCAGTGCTGTCACTCATCTTTCGCCTCTCTTCTGCCCCCTCCACCTTAACTCCTGACATCTGTCCACTGGATGCTCAGTTTTAGCCTGTCAGAGTTTATAATATTTATAGTCTGTTCTGTAACTGAAACTGTGATTTTAAAAAAACAGTGATAAAATATACATAACATAAAATGTGCTGAATTTCCTGTCTTAACCTTTTTTTTTTTTTTTTTTTTTTTTGAGATGGGGTCTTGCTCTGTCACCCAGGCTGGAATGCAATGGTGCGATCTCGGCTCACTGCAACCTCCACCTCCCGGGTTCAAGTGATTCTTCTGCCTCAGCCTCCTGAATAGCTGAGATTTCAAGTGCCTGCCACCATGCCCAGCTAATTTTTGTATTTTTAGTTAAGGCAGGGTTTCACCATGTTGGCCGGGCTGTTCTCGAACTCCTGACCTCAAGCGACGACCTGCTTCGGTTTCCTAAAGTTCTGGGATAACAGGCATGAGCCACCACGCCCGTCCATCTTAACATTTTTTTAAATGTACAGTTCAGTGTTAAGTTTTCACATTGTTGTACAGCCATCACCACCATTCAGCTCCAGAACTCTTGTAAAACAGAAACCTTGTAACCATTAAACAATTCAGGCCAGGTCCAGTGACTCACGCCTGTAATCCAAGCACTTTGGGAGGCTGAGATGGGAGGCTGGAGTGCAATAGTGGGATCACAGCTTACTATAATCTCGACCTCCCGAGCTCAAGTGATCCTCCTATCTCAGCCTCCCAAGTAGCTGGGACCACAGGCATGCACCTCTATGCCTGGCTAATTTCTGAGCCCAGAAGTTCAAGACCAGTCTGGGCAACACAGGGAGACCCCGCATCTCAAAAAAAAAAAAATTAGCCAGGTATAGTGGTGCATGCCTGTAGTCCCAGCTACTCAGGAGGCTAAGGTAGGAGGATCACTTGACCCAAGAGGTCAAGGCTGTAGTGAGCTATGATTGCATCACTGCACTCCAGCCTGGGTGACAAAGTGAGACCATGTCTCAAAAAACAAACAAACGAAAAATACAAAAACCCCCACAACACTCCATTTCATTCTCCAAGTCCCTGGCAACCACTATTCTTTTTGTCAGTATGATTTTGACTACTCTAAGTAACTCATATAAGTGGAATCATACAGTTTTGCATGTCTGTGTGGCTGGCTTATTTCACTTAGCATAATGCCCTCAAGGTTCATCCATGTTGTAGCATATTGCAGAATTTCATTTCTTTTTAGGCTGAAGAATATTTTGTTGTGTAGATATACCATATTTTGCTCATGCATTTATTCCTCCATAGACATTGAATTGCTTTCACCTCTTGGCTATTGTGAAAAATGCTGCTATGAATGTGACTGTACATCTATCACTTTGAGACTCTGCATTCAATCCTTTTGTGCATATACCCAGAAGCAGAATTGCTGGATCATGGCAATTCTATTTTTAATTTTTTGAGGAACCATTATACTGCTTTCCATAGAAACTACATTGTTTTACATTTTCACCAACAGTGCACAAAGGTTCCAATTTTCCCACATCCTTGCCCACTTTTGTTAGTTTCTTATTTTATTTTGATAGTTGCCATCTGATGAGTGTAAGCTGATATATCATTGTAGTTTTGATTTGCATTTTCCTAATGATGAGGGATGTTGGCATCTTTTCATCATTAGGGAAATGCAAATCAAAACTACTGTGCTTGTTGGCCATTTGCATATCTTCTTTGGTGAAATGTCTACTCAAGTCCTTTGCCCATTTAAAAATCAGGTTATTTGTTTTATTGTTAATGAGTTGTAGGAGTTCTTTATATATTCTGGATGTTAACCCCTTACCAATTATATGATTTGCAAATATTTTCTCCCATTCTGTAGGTTGCCTTTTCACTCTGTTGATTGTGTTGTGAGATGTACAAAAGTTTTTATTTTTATGTAGTCCAGTTTATTTTTACTTTTATTGGCTGGGCCTTTGGTACCTTATCCAAGAAATTATTGCCAAATTCAATATCATAAAGCTTTTTCCCTATGTGTTCTAAGAGTTTTATAATTTTGGATCTTTGATCCATTTTGAGTTAATTTTGTATATGGTATATGGCAAAAATGCGATTTCATTCTTTTGCATGTGAATTAACCAGTTTACTCAGCACTATTAGTTGAAAAAACCACCCTTTCCCCATTAAATAGTTTGGTACCTGTATTAGTCCATTTTCACACTGCTATAAAGAATACCTGAGACTAGAGAGTTTATAAAGAAAAGATGTTTAATTGACTCACTGTTACACATGGCTGGGGAGGCCTCAAAAAACTTTCAGTCATGGTGGGAGGGGAGGCACGTCTTAGATGGTTGCAGGCGAGAGAGAGTGTGTGAAGGAGGAACAGCCAAACACTTAGAAAACTCACTCACTGCTCACTATCACGAGAACAGGATGGGGGAAACCGCCTCCATGATCCAGTCACCTCCCACCAGGTCCCTCCTTTGACATGTGGGGATTATGGAGATTACAATTCGAGATGAGATTTGGATGGAGACACAGAGCCAAACCATCTCAGTACCCTTATTGAAAATTATTGACATATATGTGAGGGTTTATTTCTGGGCTCTCTATTCTAGTCCATTGGTCTATATGTCTGTCTTTATGCTAATACCATACTATTTTGATTACTGTAGCTTTGTAGTAAGTTTTGAAATCAGGAAGTATGAGACCTCCAACTCTGTTCTTTTCAAAATTGTTTCAGCTATTCGATGTCCCTCAAGAGTCCATATGAATCAAATTAAGTTTTCTGTGCCTTGTCTACAGATTGACTCTAAAAAGTGAAGACCAACAAAAGACATTAACTATTTTTCATTGTTGAGCCAAGCAGTGTAATCAGAACTGTAGAGAGGTATATTTGTTTGTTAGTGTGGTCCTAATGAAGTACCACAAGCTGAGTGACTTAAACAAGAGAAATAAATTATTCCACAGTTCTGCAGGCCAGAAGCCCAAGATCAAGATGCTGACAGAGTCATCCTTCTCTAGGGCAAGGACTAGGGGAGGATCAATTCCAGACCTCTCTCCTAGCTTCTGGCTTTTGGCAGCATAAATGCAATCTTCACATGGCATTCTCCCTATGTGCATGTCTGTGTCCAAATTTCCCCTTTTTATTAGGACACTAGTCCTATTGGATTAGGGACCACCCCAATGACCCTAATTAACTTAATGTTAACTTAATTACCTCTGTGAAGAGTCTATCTCTAAATAAGGTCATATTCTGAGGTCCTGAGGATGAGGACTCCAACTTATCCTTTCTGAGGGACACAATTCAACCCATAACAAGAGGAAATGTAATCCTATCTCACTAACTCTGTTCCATTTGATGGAAAATTCCCAAGTGTCAAAGTCAAATGGACACTCTTTCTTTACACTCCATCAAAATCATGTCATATTTTAGTTTGCTTCATACTTGAATAGAAATGTTCTGGTTCTGATTTTAGTTTCTAATTACATTTCTCTTTCTTTTACATAAATAAACAAATAAAAAACTATTAAGTCTCACCTTACCAATAAGTTCATCCGTGTTCTAAACTATATCATTATGACTAAATGTGGGACTCTGACAATCTAGGTTCAAATTCCGGGTCTGTCAATAGCTCTTTGGGCATGTCAATTAAACTCTATACTTCAGTTTTCCCATATTGTTAGTGGAGTAAGAATGCTGTCTATCTCTTTGGAATGTTGTGAGGAATGGAATGAGTGTACAAGAATATTTAGAGCAGTACCTGGCACGTAACAAGCACTCTCAACAAATATTCACTATTTACTGTGGCATACTATTTGTTGAAATCCAGCTGCTTTATCTTAAAAGAGATGTTCTTCTCAGTGCCCCATGAGTCTTTTTGTAGAGCAAACATTTCTGCCTTGTTCTTCTTTAAGAGTGTCTTAGCTGTTTTTTTTTCTTGCTGTTTTTTTTGAGATAGAGTTTCCTTCTGTTATTCAGGCTGGAGTGCAGTGGTGCAATCTCGGCTCCCTGCAACCTCAGCCTCCCTGGTTCAAGCAATTCTCGTGCCTCAGCAAGTAGCTGGGATTACAGGCATCCACCACCATGCCTGGCTAATTTTTTGTATTTTTAGTAGAGATGGGGTTTCGCCATGTTGCCCAGGGTGGTTTTGAACTCCTGGACTTAAGCATTACATCGGCCTCGGCCTCCCAAAGTGTTGGGATTACAGGCATGAGCCACTGCACCTTGCCAATAGTGTCTTAGCTATTCTTGATCTTTTACATTTCCTTATAAAATCTGGAATTATCTTGTTAAGCTCTGTCAATGAAAAAGAAAGAGAGAGACAGACAGAGAAAGGCAGAGATAGAGACAGAGAAAGGCAGAGATAGAGAGAGACAGAGTGAGAGATGTATACAGAGAGGGAAAGGAGGGAAGAAAGAAAACTCTGTAGAGACTTTTTATTTGGATTGCACTGAATAAATCATTTTGGGAGGAATTGATACCTTTATACTATTGAGTCTTCTAATTGATGAATGTGGTATACCTTTAGGTCTTTTAATCAAATAGTTCTGTGTAGGAAAAAAGCCTCTTGTATGGCAAGAGGCATCTTGAAGCTAAACTGCAATGATGACCAATGTTTAATTCCTGCATACCAAGGTGGTTTGCAGCCAGGTCTTAAAACAATACCTGTAGCACAGACAACCCATCATAAAGATGGTCACCTAACCTTTCCAGTGGTCATGAGTTGCAATAAGAAAGTCTGAGATATGACCAGCTGCACCTGTTTTACCATAGAAACTTGCTATAGAAAAGATATTTTCTGAAGGGTGGGTATGGGGATCCACTGTGTCATGGCCACCAGAGACATCACTTCTGTTCATAAGTCCCCATTAAATATTTCTTCCTGAGAAACTGGATTGGTCAGGCTCTTTGTTTTGCTTCTCAGCTCCCTTGGCCTTTGGGTGTGGGTTTGCATAGACCTGCTCACCTCAGAACACTCTTAATGAGAGTGTTTTATGATTTTTCTCATAGAGGTCTTATACATGCTTTGTTTGATTTACTTTTAAGAACCTGATTCATTTTATTTAATTAGAAACAGCATAGTTTTAAAAAATAATTTTCAACCTTTGAAATTATCTGATGCTTGTATATACAAGTACAATTTACTTTTGTATTTTAAGTCAAAAAAATTTTATAGCCAGGCGTGGTAGCTCATATCTGTAATCTCAGCACTTTGGGAGGCCAAGGTAGGAGGATCATATGCGGCCAGGAGTTTGAGATCAGCCTGGGCAACATAGTGAGAGCCCTGTCTCTACAGACAAACAAGCAAACAAAAAAATTAGCTAGCTAGGCTTGGTTGTGTGTGCATGTAGTCCCAGCTACTTGGGTGGCTGATGTGAGAGGATTGCTTGAGCCCAGGAGGTCGAAGCAGCTGTGGGCTGTGGTCATGCCACTGCACTCCAGCCCAGGTGACAGAGCAAGATCCTGTCTCCAAAAAAAGAAAATTTTAAACCAACAAAAATTATAAATAAACCTTTTACTTGGGAATAATTTTAGATTTATGGAAAAATTGCAAATATGGTACAGGGAGTTCCTGTATACCCCAAACACAGCCTTCCCTAATGCTAACATCTTATGTAACCACAGTACATTAGTCAAAAAGTAACAGGTCGACATCAGTACATTACTAACAGGTAAATTCCAGGCTGTATTTGGATTTCACCAGTTTTTCCACTAGTCTTTTTTTCTCTTCCAAGAGCCAATTCAGTATACCTCATTGCATTTAGTGTACTTTGATTTTTGAAAACAGCTACCTTGCGGAACCCTGTTATTAATTCTAATATTTTATATATTGATTCTTTGGAAATTTCTTTGTATACAATCGGCAAATAATAATTTTGTTCTTTCCTTCCCAGTCTTTGTATTTTAAGTGTCTTTTTCCTGCTGTATTGTATTAGGTAGGACTTCTAGTACCTTGATGAATAGAAATAATGATGGTTGGCATTCATATCTTATTCCTGATCTCAAAGGAAAAGCTTTCAACATTTCCTTAATATGATGTTTTTGTAAGACTTTTCTAGAGACTCTTTCTCACATCATGGAAGTTCCCTTTTATTCCCAGTTTAAGAGAAAGCATTTTTAAAAATCATCAATGGCTATGAATTTTATCAAATATATATTTTCTGCATCTATTGAAATGATCACATGAATTTCTGCTTTTATCTGTTTATGTAGTGTATTAACTCGAATAGATTCTCTAATGTTAAATTAAATTTAAAATCCTGGAATAAATCCAACCTTATATCAGGTTATATTATTTTTTTTATATATTGCTGAACTCAGTTTGTTAATATGTTTTTTAGGATTTGTTGCATCGATGTTCTTATGTGAAATTGACCTATAATTTTTGCTTTGATATCAAGATAATACTGGCCTCATAAAATAAGCTGGGGCATGACTTTCTTGTCCGCATTCCTCCTCTGGAAGAGTCTGGGTAAAACTGGAATTATTTCTTCCTTAAACATTTCACTCTCATCAGTGTTTAAAGCCAAGAAATATAGCAATCCCGGCCAGGCACCGTGGCTCATGCCTGTAATCCCAGCACTTTCGGAGGCCGAGGCGGGCAGATCACCTGAGGTCGGGAGTTCGAGACCAACCTGACCAACATGGAGAAACCCCGTCTCTACTAAAAATACAAAATTAGCCGGGTGTGGTGGCGCATGCCTGTAATCCCAGCTACTTAGGAGGCTGAGGCAGGAGAATCGCTTGAACTTGGGAGGCGGAGGTTTTGGTGAACCGAGATCGCACCATTGCACTCCAGCCTGGGCAACAAGAGTGAAACTTTGTCTCAAAAATAAATACATAAATAAAATAAAATTAAATTAAAAAAAAGAAATATAGCAATCCTGACATGAGTGTTTCACAACCATCTTCACTGCACTGTTTTTTTCCAGTGCCGCGAAGCATCTCCTCATGTATTACACTAGTCATTTACAGTAATGAATAGAGCACAGATGACAGCTTCTCCGCGCTGGGCTCTGTAATGCTGGAAGCAATGGGAAACCGCAGATCATTTATACCAGTCTTCCCTTAAGCCTGGTGGATAACTAGTTTTTGTAAGCTTGCAGGATATGCGATGGGGGGATGCCCCCACGTGCTTGTTTTTTTCAGGGGAGGAAGAAGACAGGGGATTATAGAAAGCGAAGGTACAGGGCCCCTAAAACCAGGACAGCAGCTAAATTCACATTCCCTCCAAAGCTATTAGTGGACATATTGGCTGGGAGCAGGATCAGCATAGTAGTGTGGGTGTGTAAGGAGTTCTCCTTGTTCTGTAGTTCTAGGAGTCTCCCTCCATCCCTCTTTTCTCCCTACTGGCTCAGACATGCTCAGCACCTTCAGTGATGGGGAGACCTCTACAGTCATTTGTTCGGGAGAACAGGATGTGACACTTCCCCTGGCATTCTAGGGGAGCTGTCCAGGGCACATTCCAGGAAAGGAAGTGGGAGGTTTCCTTTTCCCTTTTCCTCCACTGAACCCTGGGCATGTTTACTTCACTGGGGACAGGTTGAGGCTATGCTGAGAGAGGAGTAGAAGGAGATAACTCCTGGCCACAATAGACTTCTTCAAGATTTAGCTAAAAGGTTTCCCAAAGTTTGGTCTCTGGACCCCTTTACACTCTTAAAAATTACTGAAGACTCCAAAGAATTTTCATTTATTTGGGTCCTATCTGTTGAAATTTACCATACTAGACAATAAAACTGAGAAATTACAAACATTACTAATTCATTTAAGATAGCAATAATTAATGCATTACCTTAATATAATCTATTTTTATGAAAATGACTATTTCCCAAAACAAAACAAAAAATAGTGAGTTGAAAGTAGTATTGTCTTACATTTTTGCAAATCTTTAAAATTTCTGGCTTACCAGAAGATAGCTGATTCTCAAGTCTGCTTCTGCATTGAATCTTTGAGCCTTTTTTTATGGCTGAGTAGTATTCCATAGTGTATATGTACCACATTTTCTTTATCCAATCCACCATAGATGGGCACGTAGGTTGATTCCATGTCTTTGCTATTGTGAATAGGGCTGCAGTGAACATACAAATGCATGTGTCTTTTTGGTAGAACAACTTATTTTCCTTTGGGTGTATATCTAGTAATGAGATTGCTGGGCTGAATGGTAGTTCTAAGTTCTTTGATAAATCTCCAAACTGCTCTGTATTTTTAGTAAGACAAGGTTTTGCCACGTTGGCCAGGCTAGTCTCAAACTCCTGACCTCAAGTAAACCTCCCACCTCAGCCTCTCAAAGTGCTGGGATTATAGGTGTGAGCCACCGCGCCCTGCCTTGCTGGAGTCTTTAGGGTTTTCTAGGTATAGTATCATATTGTCAGCTAAGGGAGATAATGTGACTTTTCCTTTTCCTATGTAGATGCCTTTTATTTCTTTCTCTTGGCTGATTGCTCTGGCTAGGACTTCCAACTACATTGAATAGGAGTAGTGAGACTGGGCATTCTTGCCTTGTTCTTGTTCTTAAGGGAAATTCTTCCAGCTTTTGCCCATTGAGTATGAAGTTGGCTGTGGGTTTGTCATAGAAGGCTCTTATTATTTTGAGGTATGTTCCTTTCGTGCCTAGTTTGTTGAGGGTTCTTATTATAAAGGGATGTTGGATTTTATCAAAAACTTTTCCTGCATCTATTGAGATAATCATATCATTTTTATTTTTAACTATTTATATGATGAATCACATTCATTGATTTGTGTATATTGGACCAATCTCACGTCCCAGGAATAAAGCCTGCTTGATTGCGGTGAATTTACTTTTTGATGTACTGCTGGATTCAATCTGCTAATACTTTGTTGAGGATTTTTGTGCTTATGTTCATCAGGGATATTGGCCTGTAGGTGTCTTTTCTCATTGTGTCTTTGCCAGATTTTGATATCAGGGTGATGCTGGCTTCATAGAATGAGTTAGGGAGGAGTCCCTCCTCCTCAATTTTTTGGAATAGTTTCAGTAGAATTAGTACCAGCTCTTCTTTGTAAGTATGGTAGAATTCAGCTGTGAATCCATCTGGTCCAGGGCTTTTTTTGTTGGTAGGTTTTTAAATTACTGATTCAATTTCAGAACTCGATATTAGTCTGTTCAGGGTTTCAATTTCTTCCTAATTCAATCCTGGGAGGTTGTGTGTTTCTAGGAATTTATCCATTTCCTCTAGATTTTCTAGTTTATATGCATAGAGGTGTTCATTACAGTCTCAAGATTTTATTTTTTATTTCAATAGTTCTTGGGGGAAAAACAGGATATTTTTTATTTCAATAGTTTTGGGGAACAGATAGTTTTTTTGTTACATGGATAAGTTCTTTAGTGGTAATTTCTGAGATTTTGGTGCACCTGTCACCTGAGCAGTGCATACTGTACCCAGTGTATAGTCTTTAATCCCTCACCACCCTCCGCCTTTCCCCCTGAGTCCCCAAAGTTCATTAAATCATTCTTATGCCTTTGTATCCTCTGAGGATCTTTTGTATTTCTGTGGGATCAGTTGTAATGTCATCTCTGTCATTTCTGATTGTGCTTATTTGGATCTTCTCTCTTTTTTCTTTTTTAATCTACCTAGTTGTCTATCACTCTTGTTTATCCTTTTGAAAAACAAAGTTTTGGTTTTGTTGACCCTTTGTATGGATTTTTGGGTCTCAATTTCATTTAGTTCTGCTCTGATTTTAGTTATTTCTTTGCTTCTGCTAGCTTTGGGGTTAGTTTAATACTCTTAGAATATTCTTCATATTGAGCTAGAGTCTGGGTCCTATAACTCTTATCTACTGCTCTGGACCTGTCTTTTAATCTAGATCAGTAGTTCTCACTGTGTGGTTATAGTACCACCAGCATCAGCACCCCTGGGAGCTTGTTAGCAATGCAGATTCACAGGCCCCACCCCAGAACTAGTGAATCAGAAACTTTGGGGATGGGGTCGGCAGTCTGCATTTTAATAAGCCCTCCTGGTGATTCGGAGACTTGATGAAGTTTGGGAACCACTGTTTTGTACACAGCTTCTCAAACTCTCTGTGGTAAAGGATCCTCCCACCTCCATCCATGTGGACCTTCCAGGTACAACCAGTTCTGCAACACTGAAAATACATTCTGTTCAATGGGATGTGTCTGCTGACCATGAACTTGGATGTCACCACAGCATTAAATTGCTTTAAAAGTGTCCAAATGGCCAGGTGCGGTGGCTCACGCCATAATCCCAGCACTTTGGGAGGCCGAGGCGAGCGGATCACCTGAGGTCAGGAGTTCGAGACCAGCCTGACCAACATGGTGAAACCCTGTCTCTACTAAAAATACAAAAAATAAGCCAGGCATGGTGGCACATGCCTGTAATCCCAGCTATTCTGGAGGCTGAGGCAGGAGAATTGCCTGAACCCAGGAGGAGGAGGTTACAGTAAGCTGAGATTGCACCATTGCACTTCAGCCTGGGCAACAACAGTGAAACTCCATCTCAAAAAAAAAAAAAAAAGAAAAGAAAAGAAAAAAAGAAAAAGCATCCAAACGCTCTCAATTTCTATACTTACCCCATGGAAGATCATTAACAAACAGTTCAGGAGATGAGCACTTGTCCCCGGACCATGACTTGAGTGGCGGTGCTCCAGATCTGCACTTCTCAAACTTAATGTGGGCACAAGTCACCTGGGGATCCTGTGAAGGATGAGTTCACTACATCTGGGAGGGACCTAAAATTTTGTATTTCTAAGTGCCCACGGGATATTGATGCTGCTAGTCCATGGACCACACTTAGAATAGCAAGCTCTAGACTAGAGCAGTGCAGAATACATCTGATATCTTTTCTCATGAGTGTCTACCTAATATTTGAAGCTAATCATCATCCTCCCATTCTCCAAGCTTCTTCTCTAGGCTAAATATGACCAGTTCTCTCAACTCTTCCACATCCGCAATATTTCCAGATCTGCTCCCCACACCATACATGCTGGCCCCATAGATGCTATCTTTTCACTGCCCCAAAGCCAGTTCTCCTCTTCTTTTTTCTCATTCTTCCCCCTACCCCTCGCCACCAGCATTTGTAGCTGTTTTGTTCAGTGTTTCCTGGGCTGGCTCCAGCCCTTGGGGGATTTTCAGATGGCTCAGGCTTCTGGGAAGCTCTTGCAGCTGGAGGAAGGAAATTACCCCAGAGCTGGACAGTGGAATGTGCATCTGCCTAACCTGGACTCTTGCCCTGGTGTGCCTCCTGCTCTCACTGATCTCTCAGAGGACCCCTGCCTGCCCCATCTAGAGTCACCTCAATTTGACTCTAGTAACCTGGGCTTTCCTTCCTCCACTCACTCCTTAAAGCATCCTGGGGAACTTAAGGGAAGGGAGGATAGCATAGAGAGGTGAGAGGGGTTGCTTGTTTGCTCTGGAGAGGGGCTTCTGACGAGGCCAAGACCCTTCACAAGGATGCCCCATCTTCACTAACCCAATGTTTCTTCTTTATCTCTCAGGACTGCCCAGAGCCAAGCTCACTCCCCGAAAGCCAGTCTTGAGCCAAGGCTTTGTTTTCAGAAGTTCTTATAAAATGTCTTTTCTGGGAAGGCGTGAAGGGATTGAGCCAGTCTCACTCGTTAACATCTCAGCAAGGATTCATCTGTCAAATTAGTGAATAATTTGCCTAGCCCAGAGGGCATAAAACTCATAGGTAGATAACTTAAAAAAATTATACACAGCTTTACAGAGAAATGAAGACTTAAGTAGATTAGAACTTCCATTTTGTTCCCCTGAATGTTGGCTTTTCTGACATGTCCATACATTTCACATGGTTATGATTAGTGTGAGTATATTAATGTAGACTTCTTTCATTTAACTTCTTTTAGCATGCGTTAATATATACATCTCAAGGCAGCCAAACGTTGGATGTGCTTTTGCCCTTTAACATGTACATAACCCTCCAAGTAATCCTAGAGTAGCATGGTGGTTGTAAACTCAGGCCCCATCACTTACTAGCTGCGCGACGCTGGGCAAATTCTTAACATCTCTGAGCACAACCTGTAAAATGAGGATAAAATAAGAACCCACAGCATAGAGTTTTTGTGAGAATTAAATAAGCTGAGGCATGCAAAAACTCCTAAAATAGCACCTAGCCCCTTATAAGCACCCAATTAACTTTAGCTGCTCTAATTATAATTATTACTAGTATATTCAGGCAGTCATCTGTTTCTAAGCATTTTAGGTTATTTGCAGTTTTTTTTTATTATAACAAAGTTGTTGTTAACCTTTATCCTTTCTGGTAGCCATGTAAGGATTGCCTTGTCTACTAGAAGATATTAAGATGATAATGACAATGCCAAGATAATCTGAGAAGAGAATGATTACAATCAGCAAAGGGCTCAGAAAGGAAGCATTTCCTAGGGAAGGGAGAGAGCAAGTGAGGCAGATCAGAATCGAACCAGTCGAGGGGGGCAGTTGATGGACGAGATGAATTTGGGATATCTTTCAGAGGAAGGCACTTCAAATTCTTGTTATTTATTTCACTATGGTGCTCTCTGTGATTGGAACAGCTTGATATAGTTTGGCTCTGTGTCCTCACCCAAATTTCATCTTGAATTGTACTCCCATAATTCCCACGTGTTGTGGGAGGGACCCGGTGGGAGAGAATTGGATCACGGGGGCAGGTTTCCCCCATACTGTTCTCGTGGTGGTGAATAAGTCTCACGAGATCTGACGCTTTTATCAGGGGTTTCCGCTTTTGCGTCTTCTTTCTCTCTTCGCCTGCTGCCGTCCATGTAAGATGGGACTTGCTCCTCCTTGCCTTCCACCATGATTGTGAGGCTTCCTCAGCCACGTGGAACTGTAAGTCCAATTAAGCCCCTTTCTTTTGTAAATTGCCCACTCTCGGGTATGTCTTTATCAGCAGCATGCAAACAGACTTAATACACAGCTCCTGGCACATCATAGGTCCTCTGTCAGCTCCTGGTTGAAAGTATGAGTTGTCTGCTAGCTTCAGCAGGAGCCGCCAACCTGCTGTGGGCGGCCCTGGGTCCGGATCCCAGCCATGTCCAGATTTTTAAAGTCCAGATGTTTTGTCTGGCGCCACTCGGATCTCTGCTTCCTGAGTCATGGGACGAGAAACTCCTGGCTGGGGGCAGTGGCTCTGAGCAATGGTCTCCTTCTCCTCCTGTCAGCAGTGAGAGGCCTCTCATGGAATTTGGGTCATGGGGGTGGGGGTGGGGAATGATATTCATTAAGAGAAGTTGGACTCTTAGCAGGAGTTGAAGGACGAGAGGTGTCTGCTGGGTCTGAGTGCCAGCTGGTTCAACAGCAAGGGAAGAAAGAGATATGGCCTGCATCTTAGAATCTTAGCAGCGCTGTCTCTTTCGTGGGAAAAAGACAAGTGAGGATAAGTACAGAAAAGGGGGAAGTGCCTACTGGCATTCTTAGATAGCTTATTTTGGGCGGGGGTGGAGGGCGTTTGCAGCCATCGTGTGGTTTTGTCTACACAGTAATCCAATGGGAAGGCATGACCAGCTGAAATTTAAAAGTGAGAAATAGACTCAGTGCAGTCTAGTGAGCCCTCATCATGGAATTCCTTGTCTCTTTCCACACTGTTTCTTCTGGGAATAGGAACTTGACCTAGTAGTGGGAGGGATAAGAAACACCCCTGTTGACTCTCAGTTCATGCAGTCTGGGTGGGGCTGGTTCCACCCAAAGCTTCAGAGGTGGGCTCATGAATCAGATATGATTCATGAAAGTACCACATCCTCCTACCAACTTCTGACCAGGTGCACATGACCATGCTAGGCAATTAGAGCCAATGAGAATCAGCCCTAGGGTTTTGCTGGAACTATCTTTAGGCTCCTAAGATTTTAAGATATAGGTTAGAGGCCTGGCCATTTTGTCATCCTAAAGGGGTCACCTTCTTGGGAATAAAGTTAATTTAGAGGAAAGCAGAACTGAGAGAAGGAAAGAGAGAAAGAATTAAGAAATCATTTTAAAACCCAGATCTCACCATGAATCCATGGATCCAGTCAGCCTGAAAATTGACTACCCTTGGAATTTTCATTTAGGTGAACCAATACATTTTCCTTTTTTTTCCCCCGGAAAGACTTGTAGCTGACTTTCTGTTACAGCTGAAGGAATTCTTATCATAGAGTATAGCAGTGAAGTTGAGACTTGGTCAGCAGAGTTTGTGCTTGTCTTTCTGCCTTCCCTCCCTTCCCTGCACTGTGCAGTATGTAAATCCCTAGTCCTGAGAAGATTTCTCAATTTGCTACCTTGTATAAGCTTACCTAGTTGGACTTGTGGTGGTTAGGAAGAGTGGGTGGCCCTACATATTCCAATATCTTTTAAAATTTTATTTATTTATTTATTTAGAAACAGAGTCTTACTCTGTCATCCAGGCTGGAGTGCAATGGCGCAATCTCTACTCACTGCAATCTCCGCCTCCCAGGTTCAAGTGATTCTCCTGCCTTAGGCTCCTGAGTAGCTGGGACTACAGGCGTGTGCCTCCACACCCGGCTAACTTTTGTATTTTTAGTAGAGATGTGGTTTCACCATGTTGGCCAGGCTGGTCTCGAACTCCTGACCTCAGGTGATCCACCTGCCTCGGCCTCCCAAAGTGCTGGGATTACAGGTGTGAGCCACTGCGCCCGGCCTCCAAGTTTTTTATATACAGAGCTGCAGTTGTGTTTTTACTAGGATTTCACTGGGTCCACTCAGTAATGTGCTGGTAAATGTTTAACAAAGAAAGGAAAAAAACCTGTTCTGTAGTGTTTGCCAATTTCTGTGGTGCAAATATTCCAGCCATGGCTAATCCCAAGCTAACAACATAACAACACTGAATGCAGAGATGGAAAGAGGTACAAAGAGCACATGATTAGATAGTATTTTCACCACACAGATTTAATAGTTGTAGGTAACTGCAAGAGATTATAGATACATTGTAGTAAATAATTAAGAAGTTGTAAGTTTTGACTATTTAGTACCTTTCTTATTAATATAATTTATTTAATTGTAAGTTACATAATTTAATTTTGATAGCATCTCTGTTTAACAACTGGCTCACAAAATTCCTGAAAATTTTATAATTGGCTCTTCCGAGCTGGAATGAGCTAGTTCTAGGCCACCACTGATCTCATCTAGTGCCCTGGTAGAAATGATTGCTTCTTCAAGAGTTAGGAGTGTAAGCTCTGGCTTGAATTAAAAAACAGACCTGAAAGTAATCTTGAAAGCTTGATTTTGGTAAAGGTCAGTACCAAGTTGAAGTGTGCAGTGAAACTGAATACATTACTGTCTACTGAATGGAATTTATGACCTGAAGATATTCACAAATAGCTGTGAGATAGCACTCTTACTTTGCATGGTCAGCTGGTCCTGCTCTGTAGAAGGGGCCATAAAGCAGTAAAATAGATGTGTAGGGCAGGAGTCCTGTATCAGGCAATTTGAACCTGCAGAAAACAGATAGCACATCTGTATTAGTCTGTTCCCCCACTGTTACAAAGAGCTACCTGAGACAAGGTAATTTATAAAGAGGTTTAGTTGGTTCATGTTTCTGCAGGCTGTACAGGTTCTGGGGAAGCCTCAGGAAACTTACAATCATGGCAGAAGGCAAGGGGAAGCAGGCAATGTCTTACATGGCTGAAGCAGGAGGAAAAGAGAGAAGTGGGAGGTGCTACCCATTTTTAAACAACCAGATCTCATGAGAACTCACTATCACAAGAACAGCAAGGGGGGAAAATCCACCCCCATAATCCAATCACCTCCCATCAGGTCCCTCCTCCAACATTGGGGATTACAATTTGACATGAGATTTGGGCGGGGACACAAATCCAAACCATGTCAACATCCAAATTAGCATAATATGAGGAGTGTTTGAGGAACAGACTCTCTACAAAGGTGTGGGCAGGTATAGAAAAACCACAGAGATACAGTAGAATTCCAGGTCTATTAACAGGGCTCCATTATCTTCCCTAGGCCTGCAAGGAGGTACAAGCTGGGGGTAAGAGGGACTCGGTTACCAGAACCTGGAGACAGAAGGGTTGGGGGACTGGGATACCTGACATGGAATGGGATTTTGGACTACAGGGAGAGACATGCGGAATAAATACTGCTCTCAATCTCCTCCTTCCCTCTGCTCTTCTAGCCCAGCTCCCCATTGGCTAGGCCCACCCAAAGGCCAGGGCAAGGGATCCCATTGATGTCAACCTCTTGGGGCATTGAGCACGTTGGAGAAAGGTGGAAAGGGTCTCACGGGTCAAATGGCACCTTGAGTATCCTGCCATGGAGTGCACATCCTGTCCTTTGTGTTGGGCTAGAAAAAGGGCCAGGGAACCTTGCTTTTGGAATTGCTATGGGCCACCTTCATCCCAGAAACATTTAGGGTCTGGTCACCTGTTCCTGCGAAGGGCAGGAGGCTATTTGTGTAGATATACTGCTTCTCCCCTGGGACCAACACTTCTCTTCCAGCCTGGCATGAGGAGCATGAGGTTTGGGGAGAGACCCTTGGCCATGTCGTACTCTTTACTGCCAAGGCCATCACTAGGGACCACTCTTTGTCTGTCCAGTGAGTCTTAGCCCCCTATCTCAAGATTCTGCAAGGTCCTTTTCTGTGGATACTCAGTTGAGGAAGCCCTGGTCTGGGAGCCAAAAGACCTGGGATATCTGATTCTGATGCTATATCTTGAGGGGTTACCAGATCATGTCACTAGTCTGGATTTTTGTCATTTGCAAAATCAGTGGGCTGTTCCAGATGAACATGATTCCCAGTGACACCTCTGACTCTGAAGAGCGAATCCAAGATTTTATGAGTTTCATCATCTCTAGGTCATTTGTGTAATGAAAAGCATGCCTTTCCACAGCCAGGAGGTGGCAGCAAAGCTCTGTTTTGAAGGGGGCGTTAGGCCAGGGTAGGTACTGCTCTCCAACTCCCTAGAGCTGAAAGTTCAGGTTTGGAGGCTCGGTTTTACTCCTGAATAACAACAACAACAACAACAGCATTATTATTTTCATTATTGTTAGTAAAACAGAAGCAACAATGCCATCTTCAATTTGGGCAATGCTGCATAGTTGAGGAAACATTTTTGTGCATCGCATAGGAACCTTTTAACAACTGCATCCTGTAGGTAGGTAATGCCAGGACTTTTAGCCCCATGTTGAGGCTCAGGGACATTTCTTGACTTGCCCGAGGCCCTCTGGAAAGTATTGATGTGCCAGGATAGGAACCCAAGCTTTCTTGCTTTTGTTCTTGTTCTGTGCACTCCCTATCTTATGGTGTGGAAGACCCAAGGCAAGGTCCCCTCTACCTCCTTTTCCATTTTGCAAGAGAGTAGGAGGGTCCAGAGGTACCCAGCTCAGCCTGAGGGCTTAAGACTGGTTTCCGGCTGCCAGATGAAATTTGACATATACAAGCTGGGAAAGAAAACTCAGCACACAAACCTCAGCTTCACTCTCTTCTCTTTCTTCTAGTCCCCAGAAAAGAAAAAAGATATGTATCTTTAGTTACTTACCATCAGGGTGTACCTGGTGTCTCTCTTATTCATTCATTAATTCATTCCTTCAATAATCAGAGTTCTGATGAAGTGTAAGACTCTGTTATGTACTGTGAAGGATATAGGAAGGTTCTTTCTCTTCTGACTCAGAGATCTGGGGGTCAGGAGCTGGGATATGGGAGCCAGGTAAGTGCATAGCTTCTTGGGGGTATCTTAATCCTAGAGAGCCCCCACTGAACTGGGAGTTCTTGAGGAGATGGAATTCAGATTTGGTTTTGTTGGCGTGTCAGGGAGAAGTGAATCCACAGGATTTAAAAAATGACCCCCAACTCCATATGTTAACTTCTCAAACCAGAGAAAACCCCTTAGAGACACAGCCAAAACCCCAGACTGTTGTCCAACTGAATCCCTGTCTTGTACTCCACCTACCTCCTGGGGCCAGGTCTCAACCCTCCGCATCACGATAACAGGTTATCAGAGTGCGTACGGTGTGACCCACTCTATACCACCTGTGCTTCTTGCGTATTCTTATTTGCTTCTCAAAACAACCCTGTAAAGTAAACTGTTACACTCTATTTCACATCTGGGGAAACAGAGCCTTAAAGTCATGAAGTAACTTGCCCAGGGTCTCAAAGCTAGTGAGTGGTAGCAGAATTGAGACCCTGACAGGTTAGGACTCAGGATCCTGACCACCTGTCCTTGCAGAGGGAAAAGCCACCAAAGTGAGACTGAAGAGCTGCAATCTTATCTCCTCCTCAAACACTGGGCAAGTCATAACTTGTCTGCATCATCTCCAGAAAATGAGGGTATTACACTTGCTTGGTCTTCTAATAGGCTTGTTGGGAGGATGGAATGGAAAAGAGAAAAATGGGCCTGTGACAACTTAGCATCATACAATGTTGTTCTGTGTGTTCGAAATAATATTATTCTCCCTCCTGACTTTGGATTTTTTTGACTGTGAAGATTGAGGCAATTGAAAAGATCATTTCAGTGGACACTTTCAGCAATGATGATGGTGATGGTGATGATGGTGATAGTGGTGGTGATGATGATGATGGTGATGGTGATCTTGAGAAGGTGGTGGTGGTGGTGATGATGGTGATGGTGGTGGTGATGATGGTGATGGTGATCTTGAGAAGGTGGTGGTGGTGGTGATGATGGTGATGGTGGTGATCTTGAGAAGGTGGTGGTGATGATGATGGTGATGGTGGTGGTGATGATGATGATGGTGATGGTGATCTTGAGAAGGTGGTGGTGGTGATGATGATGGTGATGATGGTGATCTTGAGAAGGTGGCGGTGATGATGATGATGGTGATGATGGTGATCTTGAGAAGATGGTGATGGTGATGATGATGATGGTGATAGTGGTGATAGTGATGGTGGTGATTTTAATAGTGATGAAGGTGATGATGGTGATAATGATGACGGTGATGATGATGATGATGATGGTGATGATGACAGTCATAATAATGGTAGTGGTGAAGTTAGAGGAAGGTGACCTCAGAATCATTTTCTGCTGCCACCGCTGCTGCCAATCCTCCTCAATTTCCAACCCCACTGTGTCAAAGGCATTTGGGGTGGGCTGGTGATGAGATGAAAAGGAGAATCTAGAAGGCCAGAGAGAAGGAATAATCTAAGATGTTAAAGAATAGTGTACTTATCTCAGTGCCTGGTACATAGTAAGCCAGTACTCACTATCAGGTAATAGAAGCTATGAATTTTTAAAACAGTTTTATTAAGATGTAATCATACACCATACAATTTATCTGTTTAAAGTCTAAAATTGAATGGCTTTTAATATATTCACAGTTATGCTGCCACCACCACAATCAATTTTAGAACATCCGTTTTCCCAAAAGAAACCCTGTGCCTCTTGCTGTCACCCCAACCGCCTCATCCCTCCTGGCAAAGCTATGATTTTTATTGTTATCTACACCTTACAGAATAAGGAAATTGAGACTAAGCAATGAGAATAACTTGCCCATGACCACACAGTTGGTATGTGACAGCACTGGGATTCCATCTAGGTTTGCCAGAACCTAAAGCCTGTGCTTCTGTCCACACAGGTCAGTTTGACCAATGAGGAAACTCAGGTTCAGAGAATATATGTGATCAACCCAAGGCCACACAGCTACAGCTATTAAGTGGTCAGGATGAGGCTCACATTTAGACTTGGCTCCTAATCCACCCATAAGTGTCCTTATTCCATTTTACTGTGCCCCTTCAGGGTAAGCAAATCAACATAATCAGAATGGATGAGATCCTTAAGATCCGAGAGAGAGATGTGAAACTAGCAGTAGTTTTCTTTCCCATTGGGGAGGGAGAATGGTGCCTGGGTCCAGTCTCGTCCTGGACTTGGAAAGTTAACATCTCTTTGGACCCAGCTGCTCCCTTTTCCTTTTGGCCCTGAACACCCTGAGGAGGCTCCATGCAGGTGGGGAGGAGTTACCCTAGCTGGAAGGAGGAGCAAGGTGGTACCTGAGCCCCTATCCAACCTTTTCTAAAGCATCTGTCTTCCTAGGAGTGAATGAGTTTGACAGTACCTACTACCTTCTCAGATGTTAAGGGGAACTGTGGGTGGGCATGAGAGAATTGTACGACAAAGCCTTTAAAAGGGATGGGATGGAAAAGCAGAGTTGCTTGGCAGCCTGCAAGTCTAGGATCTCCAGGGTGTAATTTCCACTCTGCCCTAGACAACTATAGTCACAGTGCTTAATCCATCTGGGCCCCAGTGTCCCTATCTGTAAATTCAGAGAGAAAATGAGGAAGTAAATTGCAAGAATTATGAGTTCCTAGGAGGAAAATGTACTACAGTTATCTGAAAGAATCTTTATTTTCTTTCCTTCCTTCTCTTCTTCCTTCCTTTTGGATGTTTTCAGCTTTATTGAAGTATAATTGACAAAAGGAATTGTATATATTTAAGGTACACAAATTGATGTTTTAATACATGCATACATTATTAACTATAGATAGGCCTGGTGCTGTAGATCTCCAGAATGTATTCATCTTGTATAACTGAAAATGTGTACCCTTTGATAAACATCTTCCCACTTCCTCCTACTCCCAGCCTCTGGCAACCATTATTCTACTCTTTGCCTCTATGAGTTTGACTATCTTAGATTCCACATAGAAGTGAGGTCATGCAGTGTTTGTCTTTCTGCATCTGGCTTATTTCACTTAGCATAATGTCCCCCAAGTTCACCTATGTTGTCACAAATTGCAGGATTTCCTTCTTTTTTATGGCCCAATAGTATTCCCAATAGTATATGAATATATATATTCAAATTTGCATATATATGTACATTTGCATATATATGCACATTGTGGTGATATATACATATATACGAGATATATACATATATATACGTATATATGGATATATACGTGTATATATATACATATATACGAGATATATACGTGTATATATATATACATATATATGTATATACACATTTTCTTTATCCATTTATCCATTGATGGACATTTAGTTTGTTTCCACATTGTGGCTATTGTGAAGAGTGATGCAATAAACATGGAAGTGTAGATATCTCTTCAAGATCCTGATTCAGGCCAGGCGCGGTGGCTCACGCCTGTAATCCCAGCACTTTGGGAGGCCGAGGCGGGTGGATCATGAGGTCAGGAGATCGAGACCATCCTGGCTAACAAGGTGAAACCCCGTCTCTACTAAAAATACAAAAAATTAGCCGGGCGCGGTGGCGGGCGCCTGTAGTCCCAGCTCCTCGGGAGGCTGAGGCAGGAGAATGGCGTGAACCCGGGAAGCGGAGCTTGCAGTGAGCCGAGATTGCGCCACTGCAGTCCGCAGTCCGACCTGGGCGACAGAGCGAGACTCCGTCTCAAAAAAAAAAAAAAAAAAAAAAAAAAAAAAAAAAAAAAAAAAAAAAAAAAAGATCCTGATTCAATTTCCTTTGGATATATGCCCAGTAGTGGGATGGCTGGATCATATGGTAGTTCCATTTTTAAGTTTTTGAAAAACTGCTATTAGGTTGTACCAATTTGCATTCCCACCAGCAGTGCACAAGAGTTCCCTTTTCTCCACGTCCTCACCAACACTTTTGTCTTTCTGATAATAGCTATTCTGAGAGATGTAGAGTGATATAGGGTCTTTATTTTTAAATGTTTGTGGAAGCTAGTGATTTACCTGGCCATGGGTTGGATTTCCATGTTTTCTACTTGGAGCAAAGATCCTCCACTTTCACATTCCTTATTTTATATTTACGATAGAGCAGCAAGAATCTAAATATCAGCTTCATAGAAGAGGAATGGACCATGATAATAAACACAGCAGAGCCGGGAATCCGAGTATTTAGGAGAATTTATTTCTCACACATTTTCCCTCCACTCTCTCGGAGGTGTCCCATGGCAACGAGCATCAGGTGAGCCTCATTCTTCCATCTTCTGTGGGAGAAAAAAATAATTGTACATAGGAAATGAGTCAACTAAATGGGAGACTGAACATCATCTTGAAGTGAAGCAGCTGGAAAATCTGGAACTTCAGAGGAATATTAAGGAATGGCGTTGTTTCCCTTTGAACATTGTAAAAGCAAATCAATCTAGCTACTGGCGACAGGACAAACGCCCTGCAAAACAGGGGCTTCATGGGCAGCATCTGTAGCAACAGGGACAGACAGGGATGACAGTGTCGTGCCTCACTGCTCATTCTTTCAAGAGCCTGGAACCACAGGAGTCTTTGCTCAAACAGTAGCATTTGGGAGTGTGCAACCAGCAGCAGGAAGGAGAGGATCAACAGTCATCTTCCAAGCTCTCCCTGGGTGGTCCATGGGACTCCCCCGGGGCTTGGGATTTCTTGGGAAGAAGCCATACTCAGGTACTTGCTCTTCCCTGGCCCCCTACATCTCAGGTACCTGCTCTTACCTGGTCCCCACATCTCAGGTACCTGCCCTTATCTGGCCTCCCACACTCAGGCATTCGCTCTTACCTGGCCCCCATATTCAATATCTGTTCTTAGCTGGCCCCTATATCTCAGGTACCTGCTCTTACCTGGCTGCCCACGTCTCGGCTCTTGGCCCTCAGCTTGTTGACCTGGGACTCAGCGATGTCCGCCCTCTCCGCGGCCTCCTCTAGCTCATGCTGGACTCTCCGGCATCTGGACAGCTGCGTGTTGGCCTGCTCCTCCTGCACAGGAGACAGAGGGGGTATGACGCTGTAGAGCCTCTCAGTCCGATTATGAGGTGCCCTGTCTCTGAAGGCCTCTGAGGAGTTAAGCAACCAGGGCCCTGGATTCCCTGATGGCAGAGAGGGCAGGGAAGCTTTCTCCAGCGTGTGAGGACAAGGCTCCCAGCTCACGACCATGTGTACTGCCTCGGATCACCTTGCAGGTGCTACTGTCCCTTCTAGGACCTCCACATGTTCCCTTGAATCTCTTCTATATGGTATCTGCTCCATAGAGATCTTCGGGGGAGACCTAAGTCCAGAGCTCTCCCAAGGCACCTGAAGGTATAGAGACCAATGGCCCAAGTCTCCCTCGTCCTGTGCCTCTGCCCAGCACCATCTGTCTAAGGCCAGGCCACTGTACTGGTCTATTTGGGGGAATGTCAAGGATTCCTGACTAAAATGTCCTCCTGGGCACCCTCTAGCCTGCCGATCCTGCTGGGACTGTACTCATCCCATGTGCGTGAATTGCTCTCAATATTGAACCAGTTCAAATCTGCTTCCCTGAGGTCAGGATTGAACCAACCAGGCTCCAGGGAAGGGAGGAAAAAGAGCAATGGGAGAAGCTCAGTCATTTGTCCAGGGCAGACTCCCCTAAATTTTGGTCCTCAGAACAGTAGCCCTGAGGGATGCTCTGCATACAATAAGAAGGTTCTAAAGTCAATGAAGAGTGAGAAATGGTATATTCTGGAACCCTTCTTCCACTTTGTAGAGTTGATGACATATCAAACTCTACAACATCTACAAAATCTGAGATATCCTTGAAGTAAAGCAACCAGGGTAACTTTGTTTAACTCAGATTTTCCCAAACGATCTCTTTTCTATAAAAGGATAAGCTCCTCCCCATGGCAGCCCCACCTTCCTGCTATTAACATCCCTCAGAACCAGTGTCCTCAGAAGACACTTTGGGAAACACTGATTTTAGCCCATTCCATTTCTTTCCTATTGATTTCACCTATTTGATCAAAGGGTGGATGAAAAAGGATGGGATGGAGTGGAGGGAGTTAGGGAGGGCTGAGGAAGGCTGGAGATGCCTAGGAGGGTGGGCTGTGGTGGGATGGTGGGAATTAGGATGAGGTATCTCAGGTCAGGTCATGGGAGCAGGAATGGCTTTGAGGGTAGACTGGGGTGGTTCGGGAGAGTCAGGGTGATCCAACGCCAGCAGAGTAGGCTAACATGCTCTAGGGGGTGTCAAGTGAGTCACGGTGGGCAGGATGAAGGGGATGGAGGGGGCTGGCCAAGTAGGGTGAGGCAAGAGGGCACAGAGATGGTGAAGGTCGTGAAGGCTTAACATGGACCAGGAGAGGAAGAGGGCAGTTGTCTCTGTGTTTATAGCCTGCAAATACAAACTCAGGCCTGAGGCTCAGGGGACTTTACCAACCAGGATGGCGGGGACACCCAGGATGCCCCAGGGACTGTCTGTCTGTGGGCACTGCCGGGGACCTCCTGTGCTTACCGCCTCCTCAGCCTGCCTCTTGTAAGACTTCACTTTGGCCTGCAGCTTGTCCACCAGGTCCTGGAGCCTAAGGATATTCTTGTGGTCCTCCTCAGCCTGCAAACAGAGTACACGTGGCAGGGGCCCGCAAACCTATGGTCACTTCTGATGGGGCTTGGTCCATACAGCATTCACTGAGGAGGTTTTTGGGACCCCTACCTGGTAAGTCATCTCCTTGACTTTGCGTTCGTACTTGTGGGCTCCCTTCAGGGCTTCAGCTCCCCTCTTCTGTTCCACATCAAGCTCATTTTCCAGCTCCCGCACCTGAGTAGGATGAAAGGAACACAGAATTCAAATCTCCTCTCCCAGGCTTCTCTCATGGACTCATGGGCCAATCATTCTAGAGTGAACTCAAGATCCCCTAATGGTCATTAAAAAGTCAGGAAACAACAGATGCTGGAGAGGATGTGGAGAAATAGGAACACTTTTACACTGTTGGTGGGAGTGTAAATTAGTTCAACCATTGTGGAAGACAGTGTGGCAATTCCTCAAGGATGTAGAACTAGAAATACCATTTGACCCAGTAATCCCAATATTGGGTATATTCCCAAAGGATTATAAATCATTCTATGAAGACACATGCACATATATGTTTACTGAGGCACCGTTCACAATAGCAAAGCCTTGGAACCAACCCAAATGCCCATAAATGATAGACTGGATAAAGAAAATATGGCACATATACATCATGGAATACTATGCAGCCATAAAAAAGGATGAGTTCATGTCCTTTTCAGGGACATGGATGAAGCTGGAAACCATCATTCTCAGCAAACTAAGGAACAGAAAACCAAACACCACATATTCTCACTCATAAGTGGGAGTTGAACAATGAGAACACATGGTCACAGTAAAGGGAAGATCATACACTGGGACCTGTCAGGGGGCAGGGGGCTAGGGGAGGGATAGCATTAGGAGTAATACCTAATGTAAATGATGGGTTGATGGGTGCAGCAAACCAACATAGCACGTTTATACCTATGTAATAAACCTGCACGTTCTGCACATGTACCCCAGAACTTAAAGTTAGAACAAAAAACGATCCCCTAATGGGATTTTGCCAAGATGTCTCCTCCTAGGTCTTAGGAGCCACATTTTATTGACAATGCAGGTGCTTTGAGCAAGTGAGAATAAGATGCCCTTACTGGGCAGAGGCAGCCTCAGGTGCACAGAGCATAGCTGGTGGGTCAGGATTTGCTTAGATGCTCCCTTTTGTGGAGCCAGGTCGTTTGGCAAGGGCAGCAAAAGCTAACCTGACTTGTCCTTGCAGGTGAAACCTGCCCAACTGTTCATTGAACTTACAGCAGATCAAGTAACTTGAACTTACAGATCAAGTAAGGCAGCAGGGATCACGAAGAGAACCTGGGCCAGGAGTAGTCAAAGCACTCTCCAGGCCCACTTGATAGACCCAAAGCAAGTCAGTCGCCACCACTGAGCATGAGTTTCTGTATATTTAGGATGGAGATAATATTTCCTGCCCAGCCTACCTCAAATGTGGAGATCAAATGAAAGTATGTGAAAGTATTGTTAGAATGACAAAGCACTACACAGGTGTTGTTAATTTCATAGTTGCTTCTGCCTTTCTTGAAGTCTTGAGGGGAAAGGGCAGCCACTGAGGACATAAGTCACCAACTGTGGTCCCAACTCCACAATCCAGAGATTGAAGCCAGGGAGGGGCAGCAGCCAGCTGCATGCTCCACTCCACTGGGAATCCCAGTGGCTGCAGAGCAGGGCCAACTCTGGGCTTGGAGACTCACTAGATCAGCCTTGAAAACTACTAATCGGACAGGCTTACTCTGGGTGCTGTTCCCAAAACCTCCCCACCCTCCACCTCCTGGACCCAGGAAATGTCTTCCATCAGGTTCTACAAAACATTTGTTTTCCTGGGAATTCTTTCTAGGCTTCTGTAAGGTTTATGGAAGTCACATAACCGGGCAGGGGATGGGAGGACAGTCAAGGTGCCTCACCATGGGAGGGGGAGGGTGGCCGAGGGCTCCCCGCCAACCCAGGAATCAAAGTATGGCAGAAGGTGTCATGAGATCTAATCCTTTTCCCATAGGAGGGATCCATGAGAAGAACAGGCCTAAACTCATTGTAGTGGAATAGGACTGGGGATAATTGAAAATAAACATTAAAGAATTTTGGGGGAAGTTCTAACTTCCCTGGTGTTTACTTTTGTTATTCAAAAAGTCTATGGCCTTGTTGTTTTTAGCACCTCCCTAAAAAAAATCCTTTCACATTTAATGGGACCATGTGCCTGGGGAGGATATCCTCGGGTGGTTTGCATAAAGAATGACAGTATTTGGAGGCTTTCCTGCTGGGAAAAGTTGTCTCCTTCTCTTTTCCTCCTCCTCATCCTCCTTTCCTCCCTCTCTTTCATTTCCTGTCTCCCTGGGACAAGAGACATTCGAACAGCCTCCTCCGCAGAGCCCTCCTCCAAAATGTCAACCACTAGTGGAGCCCATTTTAAAA
The DNA here is from genome assembly GCF_000001405.40 of Homo sapiens. Classification (NCBI taxonomy): domain Eukaryota; kingdom Metazoa; phylum Chordata; class Mammalia; order Primates; family Hominidae; genus Homo; species Homo sapiens. The sequence goes on from NC_000017.11 coordinate 10,305,707, forward strand.
TGATTGAAATAAACCACATGGGTCTAAAAGGAAAAGCAAGGGAGACAGGAAACAAAGGGAACAGTCAGCAAAGAAACTGAATAATAACTGCAGGATACGCTCCCAGATAAAGAAAGAGCAGGGATGTCCAGGTGTCGGGGGGTTGAACTTTGCTGGTGCATCAAGCTAAAGGAAGAAGCCCCGATCGCCCTCTTTTGGGGCTGGAGCAAGAGACATACCTGTGCCAGAATTGCAGCCTGCACTGACAGATGAGAAAAGCTGGGGAGGGAAGGAAACCTGAGATTGGGAGAAAACGGAAACTGCAGATTTTATGTAGGATGGGCTGTGTTGATCAAAGTGAAGCTTGGTCCAAAATGTAAATGCATCAAAATGAGTAATTTTATGACTGTAGAGTATATGTTAATAGTTTTTTCCATGTATGTGCGTGCATCTGAATCTGCATAGCAAATGGAATGTGAACATTAACATACATCATTATATTACATTTACTGAGGTGTGAGCATACCAAAATAGATGTGTGTGTGTGTGTGTGTGTGTGTGTGTGTGTGTGTGTGTGTGTGTGTTTTGGGGCATAGGAACAGGTGAAACAGAAAGAGGTGAGAAATGAAGCTCACAGGGAATTTTTCAAGCAGTCCTGAAACTGAATTTGCAATCTATTCATTCAGTGGCCTTTTCCCACCATCTCAGTTTCTGGACTGTGGTTCTGTCCGAGGCTGTCACTTTCAGAGTAACAGTCCTCTCAAAAACTCTACCCGGTTCTCCAGTTTCTGGATCTGCTTCTTCCCGCCCTTCAGCGCCAGTTGTTCAGCCTCATCTAGACGGTGCTGCAGGTCCTTCACCGTCTGCTCCAGGTTCTTCTTCATCCGCTCCAGGTGGGCGCTGGTGTCCTGTTCCTTCTTTAGCTCCTCAGCCATCATGGCAGCCTGGTTAAGTTCACAGGACACATCAGAGGCCCTGTCCGCCCATCCCTACCCAGAGCTTGCAGAAGAGGCGAAGGCTGGGATCATGGTGCTGAGCCTCCCCTGTCTGACTGGGGCCAGTCATTGCTGATTCCCCACAGCCTCCCCTCCCACTTTGCCACTGCTGAGACTGTACCTCATTACATCTGTCTGGGAAGCCACCACTAACCGATTGTTGTCATAAGAGATGAAACATACTTGCCACACCCTGGCTCAGAGGCCCCACTTTCTCAGTTCCAAACCCCATCTCTGAAAAGGAAGAACAGAGCTCACATCCGTGATGGCCTTCTTGGCCTTCTCCTCTGCGTTCCTGGACTCCTGGATCGAGTTCTCCACCTCTGCCTGGCACTGAGCTATGTCAGCCTCCAGTTTTTTCTTGGTATTTATCAGGCTTGTGTTCTACAAGAAGAATTAGATATCAGGGGTGTGGGTTCTATTGGGGCGCTTAAAAAAATTGGGAGAGGGTTGGCTGGGGAGGGAAGTAAATTGTGATCCTGTTCCATTTCTTATTTTTCACATGGGTGACCTGCTGGGTACAGTACTGTACATTCTTTCTTTATTCTTAACTGAACAGAAAGTCCTGAAACAGACCCAAGAATTGTACATGAAAGAATTCAGTAAATGATAAAAGTAGAATTTCAAATATTTGAGGATGGATAGATTATTCAGTAAAAAGTCTTGGAACAAGGAAATGATGATAGACATACTATATGAAATGAAAAATAATTTAAATAATCAAAATATGCCATAAATAGAATTGTAAGGGGTGACGACAAACTGGAAAACATTTGCAATGTACATTACAGAAGAAAATATTCCCTTTCTTAACATACAAATAAGGCAAATCAATTAAAAAAAGGGCAAAAACTACAAATGGGTAAAATACTAGAAGAAATTCAAATGGCCAACAAATGTGATAAAATGTTCCACCTCATTAGCAATAAAAAAAATACTAAAAACTCAGTGAGGTATGTTTCAGCAATAAAATTGGTGAAGATTTTTAAAATAAGAGCTAGAGTATTTGAGAATTTATAGAAGAGAACTCTCACACGTTTCCCCAGTGGAAATAAAAATTGGGACAACCTTGTTAAAGAACAATTTATATTACAAATACTTTTGCTGTTTGGACCTTGAAATTTCATTTTTAGAAATTTATTTACTTCTAGAAATATTAAGATTATAGTAATCATAGAAGTATATGAAAATTTAGTTATGAGGAAGTTCATCAAAATAGTCTTTCTAAAAGTAAAATTTTTATTGAGAACAATCTAAAATAACCACAGAAGACTGATTAAATGAAAGGGCCATAATATACAAGTAGAATAGCCTACTTTTCTGTCATTAAAAATCATATAGAAGACTATTTAAAGATGTCGAAGCTGGGCACAGTGGCTCATGCCTGTAATCCCAGAGCTTTGGGAGGCTGAGGCGGGCGGATCACCTGAAGTCAGGAGATCGAGACAATCCTGGCCAACATGGTGAAACCCCGTCTCTACAAAAATACAAAAATTAGCTGGGTGTGGTGACAAGCACCTGTAATCCCAGCTACTCAGGAGGCTGAGGCAGGAGAATCGCTTGAACCTAGGAGGCAGAGATTGCAGTGAACTGAGATCGCACCACTGCACTCCAGCCTGGCGACAGAAAGAGACTCTGCTCTGTCTCAAAAAAAAAAAAAAAAGATGTCAAAATATGTTCATGATTGTTAAATTCAAAAAAGAGGTTGCAAAAGATTGCTCATACTTTGACTATATATATATGTATTTATTTTTAATTAAAACTTTTTTTTTTTTTTTTTTTTTTGTAGAGACAAGGTTTTGCCATATTGCCCACGCTGGTCTCAGACTCCTGAGATCAAACAATCCCAAATTCCTGGGATTAGAGGCAAAAATATAATATTTATATAATTCACAATGGGCCTAAGAATGAGAGACCCCAGAATGTTAATAATATGCTTGACTTTTTTCTTCCATGTATTTACTTGTTTTTTCTATTTTTTTAAACAAAGGAGTTTTAAAAACTTTTATAAAAATAATTATTTTGTGTTTTTGTTGTTGTTGTTTGTTTGTTTATTTTTTTGGCAGGGTCTCCCTCTGTTGCCCAGGCTGGAGTGCAGTGGCATGATCATAGTTCATTGCAGCTTCAACTCCTGGGCTAAAGCAAACCTCCCACCTTGGCCTCCCAAAGTGCTGGGATTATAGGTGTGGCGCTGAGCCGGGTCAAAAATAATTATTTTGAAATAAAATCTTAATATTCTAAGGTTTCCACTTAAATAGTACTTCCAGGTGCCTTACGTAATAATTAATCCTTCGTTGCTCTGATTTCCCCACAACGTGCAAGATGTTTAATGTTTGGATGAGAGAAAGCTCAGAAATCTGTCAATCAAGAGTCAGTTATTCCAAGAAGCAAGCTTAAAAGAAAATTTGTCTTGACCACTAGTCTGGGAGAAACCGGGTGCTCCTTCCCACGGCGTGGGCCCTGAGTGGAGGGATAGCGGAAGCAGCTGCACGGTGCAGGAGGCGCTATCTGCCCCAGGGTGGACCTTCAGCGGAGGAGTGAGGGCCGACGCACCTGGGAGTGCAGGAGCTGCACGCGGTCGCTGGCGTCCAGCAGCTCCTGCTCTGACAGCCTGCGGGTCCGCTCCGTCTGTTCCAGGGCCACCTTCATTTCCTCCAGCTCCTCCAGCAGGAGGCCATTCCTGCGCTCCACGATGGCCAGCTGCTCCTTGAGGTCCTCATTGCTCCTCAGGGCGTCATCGAGATGCAGCTGGGAGTCCTGCAGGGGAGACCCAGAGTGAGGCCAGAGCCGCCTGGCAGGCTGGGGCCCGTCCAGGTACGCAGAGGCGGCCACCGTGCTCACCTTGAGCTGGCCCTGGACCGTGCGCAGATGCTTCTGGGTCTCTGCCATCTGGCGGTTGGAGTGGCCCAGCTGAATCTCCATCTCATTAAGGTCTCCCTCCATCTTCTTCTTTAGCCTCAGGGCGTCGTTCCGGCTGCGGATTTCAGCATCCAGCACGCTCTGCAGGGCCTCTGCTGCCCGCTGGCTGTTTCTTTTTAGCTGCTCGATTTCTTCATCCTTCTCAATGACCTTGCGGTCTAGCTCGGATTTCACCTGGCTCAGCTCTAGCTGCACGCGCAAGATCTTGCTCTCCTCGTGTTCCAAGGAACCCTGACGAAAGCAAAGGAGTGATTGAGAGTGCCGTGGACATCCACCTTCATGAATGGGTATTTTCATCCCCATACGATCAAATGGGTATGCGTTTTTTTAAAAAAATTAAATTTAAATTTTTTTTTTTTTTTGGTAGAGACAGGGTCTGTGTTGCCCAGGCTGGTCCTGAACTCCTGGGCTCCAGTGATCCTCTCTCCTTGGCCTCCTAAAGTGTTGGGATTACAGGTGTGAGCCATGGTGCCCAGAGCCCAAATAGGTTTTGTGTTTTTTTTTTTTTTTGGACAGAGTCTCATTCTGTTGCCCAGGCTGGAGTGCAGTGGCACAATCTCGGCTCAATGCAACCTCCACCCCCTGGGTTCAAGCGATTCTCCTGCCTCAGCCTCCCGAGTAGTTGGGATTACAGGTGCCCACCACTGTGCCTGGCTAATTTTCGTATTTTTGGTAAAGACAGGGTTTCACCATGTTGCCTAGGCTGGTCTCGAACTCCTGACCTTCCAGGTGATCTGCCTGCCTCGGCCTCCCAAAGTACTAGGATTACAGTTGTGAGCCACCATGCCCGGCTGCAAATAGGTATTCTTATACCCATTTTATAGATGAAGAGAACAATATTCAGAGAGGTCTGAGTATTTGGCTTGCTCCCAAATATCCCTAATAGTGATGAAACTGGGACTAAAACTTTGCATCGCTCATGAACAAATTATTTTATGACTTGAGATAGAGTATCTTTCTTAATTAGTGAAAATTTTATTGAGGGTATCTATTATAATAGTGACCATAAATCAGGAGTCAACCTATTCTCTAAAATGACAGGGCAACTGCTCTCCTGTTATCCTGTGTCGGTTCGTATTTCCCTAGAAACCACCAGCCATCCTGACCACCACCGATTACTGCATCGGGAGATGCTGGGTGTGTTTGGATTATACAGGATTCTTGATAGCCAAAAATGATTGTCTGTGCCTCTATGTTAAACATAACTGAGAGATTCTGCGCTGCTCTCAGGATGTTAGGTGATTGATTTTCTGCTTCCTGAGAGGAAGACATTGAAGAACATAATGAACACATTTATTTATTTTCAAAGGGGAACTGTGCCAGAGAACGCCTAGGAGATAAAGTAGCAGCCCGTGGATGTTTCAGCCCCTGGGATGGCTGAATGTTACTCCCAATGGAGACTCAGGGTCTCCTGGCAGGAAAGGCCCCATGGGGTGGTGAAGGGCAGCCTCTTTCAGTTCCCTGTCCTCCTGAATTTCTGAATGTCATATCCTAGACACTTACCTCCACTTCTTCTAAGGCGACCTGCAGATCTGACTTTTCCTGCTCCACTAGCTTCTTGGTCTTTTCCGCTTCCTGAAGATTCTTGCCAGTTTCTGCAATCTGCTCAGTTAAGTCGGAAATCTCTTCTGCAAAGGACAGGCTTGATTTAGGCTGTTTCAACAGGCTCCAGTTTATAGTATAGGCATTTGCCAGGCAATTCAGGGATGGGCGATTCATTCATGACATTTATACAGGAGAGAATACAGGGCAGCCGTTCAGATGAGGTGTTGGCAAGACAGGGATGTGTTGCCTCACCTGCACTAGGCAGACAGGAACCACAAGTAAAGAATAGAAACTTAAAACTTCAAAAGTACCATATACAAAACGGTCATAGAGAAGACCAGAGAAAACAACTGTGGGGAAAACGCATAGAATCATAGTCTGCAGAACCAGAAGGGGCTTTGGAAAGTGTTGGGTGTGGTCTTCTGATTTTGTAGATCAGAAATCTGAGGTCCTAAGGGATTCAGTGGCATGTGCAAGAATACAAAGCCACCTAGAGACAGAATCACTGAAGGGTCTTCTCTAACGGAGCAGTGGGCTCAGCAACCCACTGTTCCTTCAGTTCTCAAAAATGAGACTTAGCTGCTGCCGTGCCTTACATTAAAAAGGTCTGGGCCTTGGGGCAAACTGAGTCAATGTGAGGCATGATGGGTGAGGATCGTGTGGGGCAGTGGGAAGGAGGTGTCTGGAGATGGCTGTGGCCAAATGGGGAAGGGGTTGGCAGGAGGAGAGGGGGACATAGCACACACCAGTGGTGGAGACAGCTCACCTTGCAGATTTTTGTTCTCTCGCCTCAGTGTCTCTAACTGGTCCACCACCTCCTCATAGGCATTCCTCATCTTGAAGAGTTCAGTGCTGAGTGACCTGGACTCCTTCTGAGCAGCTTCCAACTCAGCCTGGCTTTCGTCCAGCTTTTGCTTCCACTCTGCAAGGACCTGGGAGATGACAAAGGGACATGGGAGAAGCAGAAAGCAGGGGTGACTCAGAAGAGTTCATGCAAACAAGGGCTGTCAGTAACACCAACGTTTTGCCCTTCCATCCTTAGGGACTGAAGAAGGAGGAGGAGCACTGTTCTAGATCAGGGACCCCAAACTGTGATATCCCTGCAGACCCTCTGCTGCATTCTCACAGACATTATAATCTCAGTGGAACGGAATTAGCTTTCACTAAAAATAAAATTGCCTTTGGAGGGACTGTCACAGTAGTCAAGAAGACACCTCAAGTCCCTGAAACTGGGAAATGATGCTCCAACTGGGGGCCTTCTAGGATGTGCAGGTATCTCACACATCTAAGCGTGAAACTGTTGTTTTCACCACTGCCACTGCAAAACATTTGTCCCTTTTCCAAATTCAGGTATTTTCATGTAAATAGCATTTCCCCAACTTGAATTATCCTCATGCCATCTTCACAAAGAAAGCGGCTGGGGAAGGACCTTGTCGAAGTTCCTCTGCTTCTTGTCCAGTGTGGCACAGGCGGTGTGGGAGCGCTCCAGATCCCGCATCAGATCCTCCACCTCTCCCTGCAGCCTCTGCTTGGTTTTCTCCAACGATGCGCACTTGGAGTTCGCCGTCTCCGTGTTCTCCTCTGCTTCCTGGAGCCTCTGGGCCAGTTTTTTCCTACGAAAACCAGATTTTTTTTTTCCCCTTCGCAAAGGTGGAATATTTCAGTAGGTAACTGTCAGATGGGAAGAGAAATGAATAGCGTGGAAGGGACTGGTGTTTGATGAGACCAAGACCTAGGATTTGGTGAGTGGGGAGGATCCAAGTGTCACCGAGAGATTCTCAAAATGCTTGGTGGCAAAGCAGGTCCCTAAGGAGCACCTCCAGGGAGCTAGGTGGAATGGACAGTTCCCGAGAAGAAGGACAGGGAGACCCCCAGAGGGTGGGGGGTACAATCCGAGTGTTTCAGAAACCACAAAGGCGTGGGCAGGAAAGAATCTCTCAAGATATGAAGACTCCTGGTCCCTTGGCTTGTGTCCTCGGGCCCCCTCTGCTATTGCCACCCTGGAGCCCCTACTTGGCCTCCTCCAGCTCCTCTGTGCGCTGAATGGCGTCCGTCTCGTATTTGGTCCTCCACTGGGCAACCTCACTGTTGGCCTTGGACAGCGCCCTCTGCAGCTCGGCCTTGGCTTCCTGCTCCTCCTCATACTGTTCCCGCAGCAGGTCACAGTCGTGGCGGGAGGACTGCAGGGCGTGCGCCATGGCGTTCTTGGCCTGGGAATGACAGCGGTGACAAATTGCAAAAACATTTGACCCTTTTCCAAGTTCAGGTATTTTCATTTAAATCGCTTTCCCCCAACTTGAATTATCCCTATGCTGTCTTCACCAATTTTGCCATATCAGCATATCACCTGGTTTATTTAATTTTTTTTCAAGTGGACTCCTTAATTATATTTAAATATATTTAACAAAAGAGTAAACTGTCACAGGAAAGTAAGTGGAAAACCATTGACATTTGCCATAAACAGAAGGTAACCATAAGTGCAATGGAAATAAAGCAATGTTATCATGTCTAGCTAGGTACTGTTGCCTGCTGGGACTCCATGCCTGGGGTCTACCCTCTATTTCTTAATAGGGTAAATAAGCAAATGCTAAGGAAGTGTGGTTCACACTGAGGCCTTTTCCTTGATATAATCAGAAGGATTGGAACAATTAAAAAGGGAATAATTTTCTCACTACTTGATGCAATGGTATGGAATGCTGTGACCAGGAGAAGCCTGAAAGCATCTTTTGATGTCACCACTGGGCTATGTCCCCACACTGGGGATTGCTGATGTGAGCTTCGCTGTTTCCACGGCTGGACTTCCTCCTCCTAGGCAGAGAAGACATGCCTAGAGGCCTCCATCCCTCACTCCCTCCCATTGGAGGGATGTAAGGGCAACAGTTTAGCTCCGACTATAATGGCCACAAGACGCCCTCTGGTGCCACCATCAAAGAGAGAGTTCTGTCAGCCCACTTCAGTAATTTGTACATTTTCATCTTTTTAAAAATGCAATAGACCAAGCGTGGTGGCTCATGCCTGTAATCCTAGCAGTTTGGGAGGCCGAGATGGGCGGATCACCTGAGGCCAGGAGTTTGAGACCAGCCTGATCAACATGGAGAAACCCTGTCACTACTAAAAATACAAAACCGGGCATGGTGGCACATGCACGTAATCCCAGCTACTTGGGAGGCTGAGGCAGGAGAATCACTTGAACCCAGGAGGCAGAGGTTGTGGTGAGCCAAGATCGAGCCATTGCACTCCAGCCTGGGCAACAAGAGTGAAACTCCATCTCAAAAAAAAAAAAAAAGGCAATAAATGACACACTTTGCCTAAGAAGGAAAACTCAGCTGTTGCTGTATTCTTGCCAAAGGACAGCCCGCTCCTGCAGTGGCTCTTCTCAGTACTTGTTCAGGCTTGGGTTCTCACCACTTCCCCTTTCCCCTCATCTACCAAAGATCTTTACCATACAACAGAAAGATGGGAGACAAATATGGCGCTTGTCCTTTTTCAGAAGAAAAAGGTGGAGCTTGGGAAAATTCCAAAAGATTGCCCTATAAGTCTTAGCCAGCGTACAGCAACCTCGGAATTCCATTCATGCAGTTTTTTGGACTCTTAGTCCCCTATTCTGATACTTGAATATGAATTGGCAGCACCAAGTACCTACTGTGTGCACTGTTCTGCTAGGCACAGTAGGTACAGTGGGGACAAACTATTCTTGCCCTCCATGAGTTTATAGATCTGTGGGGAGACATGTATTATAAACACAATATCTAGACATTGAAATCAAGAAGGTGATGATGTTCATGTTTATGCGACTGTCTCAAGGGTGCTCCCAAAACCATGGAGCCTTCTTGGAGGAGGGGAGCTTAAAATCAGGTGGTATAGGAGGTGACACATCAGGAATAATGAAGAAGAAAGAGGAGGGGGATTTCAGGTGGCCAGGATGAATTGCTGGGCAGAATGATCAAGTGTGTGCAGTGATGGGGAGGAGGTGCCCTGGCTGGAAAGGGGAGTTTCTCAGACCACCCTGCGGGGGACAGAGGAGGCCAGGGGATGGACCACCATAGGTACGGTTTTCTATTCCTGAAGAAGGAGATCCAGTGCCAAGGTCCTCTAACCTTAAAGGACAGGTTCCCACCATGCTGCAAGGCAGACAGGAGAAGCAACAGGTTTCTTTCTTTCTTTCTTTAATGGAGTCTCGCTCTGTCTTCCAGGCTGGAGTGCAGTGGCGTGATCTCAGCTCACTGCCACCTCCGCCCCCTGGGTTCAAGGAATTGTCTGCCTCAGCCTCCCGAGTAGCTGGGATTACGGGCACCTGCCAGTACACCCAGCTAATTTTTTTTTGTATTTTTAGTGGAGACGGGGTTTCGCCATCTTGGCCAGGCTGGTCTTGAACTCCTGATCTCGTGATCCATCTGCCTTGGCCTCCCAAAGTGCTGGGATTACAGGTGTGAGTCACCGTGCCCAGCTGCAGCAGATTTCTTGATGTAGCACTGCTCTGACCAGCTTCACGGGTGAAGTGGTCATATAGCCTGGCTTCTCAGGTTCAATCTGACTCTATATCTTTACCTTGGTTTCTTCTTCCATTTGCCTCTTAAGCTCCTCCAGCTGCTGGGTGAGGGCCTGCTTGCTTTTGGTCAGCTGTGAAATCAGAGACTCCTTCTCTTCCACTCGGTGGCTCAGCTCCCCTACCAAACAGATGTGGCCCCCACGTCAGTGTTACTGACCACCCTCTCCCATGGCCCGGCTGGACCCAGAGCCCTGCCCATTCTCACCATTTTGGGTCTGCAGTCTTGCTTTCTGCATGTTCAGATCATGGATCAACTGTGTCTGTTGCTCGTCCTTGGCTTTGATTTCACTAAATTGATCTTCTACCGTCCGGCACGTTCTTTCTATGTTACTCTTTAACAAACAGAAAGTCAACACGAATGGGAAGAAATGGATTCCTAGTGCCCAGCATTGAACTGAACAGTGTAATCATTTAGTTTCTTGTCAGGTAAAATAAAAATAAAAGTACAGAACAAAAAAAAGTTCAGTTTCAAAAAAATCATAATCGGCCAGGCGCAGTGGCTCACGCCTATAATCCCAGCACTTTGGGAGGCCGAGGAGGGTGGATCACCTGAGGTCAGGAGTTTGAGACTAGCCTGACCAACATGGTGAAACCTTATCTCTACTAAAAATACAGAAATTAGCCAGGCGTGGTGGTGCATGCCTGTAATCCCAGCTACTCGGGAGGCTGAGGCAGGAGAATCGCTTGAACTCGGGAGGCGGAGGTTGCAGTGAGCCGAGATCATGCCATTGCACTCTAGCCTTGGCGGCAAGAGTGAAACTCCGTCTCAAAAAAAAAAATCATAATTATTTCAGATTTGTGAATGCAGCTCAATCACCAATCACTTGGAACATCAGGTAGATAAGTATTTAATGATTTGTAAACAACCCTTTGAGAAGATGTCACTTTTAAGTGGATCTTTGGGATCCTCTTGTAATATAAGTGATTCGTGAATAATTGCAAGCAATACAAGCCTGTGAATATTTGCAAGCAATATATTCAGATGACAGTGTTAAGCATTTCATTCAATAACACAGAAGGTTCCCCATGGTGCAGGCCGTATGAAGAGATTCACCTCTCTGGCTTCCAGTTGGCCTGTATTTTTGTGAAGTTTGTTCAAAACCCTTGTGTGTGTTGACCTTTCTCTCCTCCTGCTGCTCCATAAAATAGAAAATAAAATGTATAGAGCATATGTTTTTCTTTAGAATGGTAAGTATGAGATGGCAGTGGAGGAAGCAGGGACACTAATTCCACGGGCGTCCTGGAGGAGCTTAGGATCTCTTTGAGAAGATGACACGCAAACATGAAGGAATCAAAGCAGGGAGAGTTGAAACGCGATGGCAGCTTGCAAGGAGAATCGTCAAAGGGGACAACTGAAAAAGCGTTAAGAGACATGACGTGCTGCTTCCCCTGGATGTTAAAATTGAGAACAGAGAGCAGCACACGGCAATTCTGGAGATAGGGAGGCTGGAGTGGGGGCTGTTTATAGGCATAGTGTATGGGGGATGCTGGAGGCCCTTCCTACCCAGCTACCCCTGCAGGCTGGCCTGGCTCGCCGAGAGAGAGGTGTGGGAGGGGAACATTTACAGAACCAAGTTCTTAGAGGAAGAAAGAAAACCAAGGGAAAAAGGGCAAACACATGGGAAAGCAGGAAAGAAAGAGAAAAGGAGTCATCAGCCGGAGCCAGAGGCTGCAGTCGCGGAGTGAAGAAGCAATCAAGGAGGCACAGGGCTGCGTGGACGCAGACCCTAAACACTGGCAGCAGGGGGCGCTGGAGAGACCACTCTAGTTCTCTGATTCATATCTCCCTTCCTTTTCTGGACAGATGCCCTGACCTTCCGGGAAACCCTCGGTGAGAGGCCCACAGCCTCGCTTCTAGGGTCACCACTGCTTCTTCCAGTCTAGCCAAACAGCTCCTAGTACAGCTCAGAGCACCCTGCAAGGAGGGCACGTGTTAAATCGAGGAGCACACATGCTCCACGAGGAATTCTTTGCTTTGAGGCCATGCACAGAGGTGGGTTCACTATGAAGCTTGTGAAATAAGCTTCAGGGCCCGCATTTGCATGGGCCACAGAGAGTCTGGGAGCTGCAGAAGGTTCAAGGGAAGAGGAGCCATCACAAGCAGAATATTCTAGAAGGCATTTCTGGCAAATGGCCCAAAGAGGCCTCAGGAGAAAAGAACTTGAGTCTTCAAGGTAACCTGCGACTTTTTTGTCTCATTTTAAATATCAACTTTCATGCCTAATTTTTATAAGTTTGTATACTTTTTTCTTAAAGAGCCCCAATCGGCCAGGCACAGTGGCTCATGCCTGTAATCCCAGCACTTTGGGAGGCTGAGGTGGGTGGATCACCTGAGGCCAGGAGTTCAAGACCAGCCTGGCCAACATGGTGAAACCCCAACTCTACCAAAAATACAAAAATTAGCCAGGCCTGGTGGCGTGTGCCTGTAATCCCAGCTACTTGGGAGGCTGAGGCAGGAGAATTGCTTGAACCTGGGAGGTAGAGGTTGCAGTGAGCTGAGATGGCGCCACTGCAATCCAGCCTGGGGAACAAGAGCGAAACAGTGGTGCCAGATCATCCAATTGTGCTTGAATCAAGTGATCTTGATGCTTTGGTCTGAAAGTTTGTGTCCCCCCAAAATTCATAATTTCCAGTCCAGTGGTGTTGGGGGGTGGGGCTTTTGGGAGGTGATAAGGTCGTGGGGGTGGAGCCCTTATGAATGGGATTAGTGTTCTTATAATAGAGGCCTGAGAGAACTTGTTCACCCCTTCTACCACATGAGGATGCAATGAGAAGGCACCATCTGTGAGGAACAGGCCTCCGACAGACACCGAATTTGCTGGCACTTTGATCTTGGACTTCCCAGCCTCCAAAATTGTGAGTGATAAATTTCTGTTGTTTATAAATTACCCAGTCTAAAATATTTTGTTACAGAAGCACAAATGGATAAGACAAAGGACGTGAGTAAATTTGAGGAACTAGAAACAGGCAGAAATAGGGAAGAGGGTTTCAGTGTAGAACATGCAGTGGTTTGGAGGCATCAAATTACACGTGCCCAGGGGCAGGTGGCCGTCGGCTGCCTTGCATTCTCCAAGAGCAGAAGGGCCAGTCAGGTACCTTTGACTTGGAGAGAGCCTCGATGTTGCTGGCCATGTCGTCAATCTCCATCTTCAGCTCGCTCTTCTCCTTCTCCAGCTTCTGCTTCACCCGCTGCAGGTTGTCAATCTGCTCCCCAAGCTCGGCCACACTATCTGCTTGCTTCTTCCTCAGGGTGGCTGCTGTGGCTTCGTGCTGCAGGGTGGCCTCCTCCAGGTCCCTGCGCATTTTCTGGAACTCAGCCTCCCTCTTCTTGTTCATCTCAATCTGGGCTGAAGTGGCCCCACTGGCTTCTTCCAGCCTCTCGCTGATCTCCTCCAGTTCCCTGGCCAGATCTGAGCGCTGCTTCTCAATCTTGGCTCTGAGCGTGTGTTCCGCTTCAATTTCCTCCTCCAGCTCTTCTATGCGGGCCTGAAAGGATTACTCTATCAGGAATGTTATTGTGGAGGAGGGGGCAGCCCCCTTTGAGAGGGGCTGGGTGTTGAGGAATTGCGGGTAGGCAGCATGAGGTGGGTGGGTCATTTGAGGTCAGGAGTTTGAAACCAGCCTGGCCAACATGGTGAAACTCCGCCTCTACTAAAAATACAAAAATTAGCCGGGTGTGGTGGCGGGCGCCTGTAGTCCCAGCTACTCGGGAGGCCGAGGCAGGAGAATAGCTTGAACCTGGGAGGTGGAGGTTGCAGTGAGCTGAGATTGTGCCACTGTGCTCCAGCCTGGGTGACAGAGCAAGACTCGGTCTCAAAAAAAAAAAAGAAGAATACATTATAACATTAAATTGGTGAAAAAACTTGGAAACAACCTAAGTGTCCATGGATAAGAGAATGCACAAATCGATTGTGATGGAGACTTGTTCTAGAAGTCTATGGAGCAGGTAGACACAAATCCACGTCTATCATGGATAGCTCTGCAGATCATGTTGCCAAAAGAAAGGAGCAAATTGCAGAGTGATACTCTCAGTGTGATATGCTAAGAATATGAAGAAACAAGAACCTTTTCTGCATGTGTACTATATATTTTTTGGGGAGTCTTAAATGTGTACAAAAACACATAGCAAAAGAGGCAGAAAGATGCACATCCCAGTGAAATTGGCAATTAATTCTCAGAAGACGGGGAGGGCACTGGGCTTAGGGATGGCGATCAAAGCACCCTTAACAATAATATTTAGCTTTACTGGGCCTATTTTGAGCCTTTGCAAGGAAGTATGTTTATGGGTTATTCAGAACATTAAAATATTATTTTCAAAAACTAAAGGAAATGACAGGACATCTTCTCTAGCTTTAGCAGGAGGAAGGAAAGAAGCAGCTAAAGAAACAAGGGGGAAGGAGTGAGGAGGGGCGCTCTTGCAAAGGGATTGTCATGATTGGGAAGGTTTTGATGCTTTTACTTGCAGTTCTTTAATCTTCTTTTGAAACTGCAAACTGTGGACTTGTTCGTCATCTATTTTGGCTTGTAACTGACTGAGTTCAAACTCCTTCCTGCAAATAGATTAAAAAAAAATAAAGAACATGAAATACAAGCCTCTTGGAGGGGGTGAAAGTTGGCTTTTAGGCTGAGACACAGAGGTGGTAAAAGAAATATCTACTTTTTCAATTTCTCTTCTATTTGCTGCTTGTCATTTTCTAGATCCATAATGGATTCCTGGGACATTTTCAGATCTCCTTCCAGCTTCCTCTTCGCCCTTTCCAAGTCCGCCCGCAGTTTCTTCTCCTGCTCTAAGGAACCCTCAAGCTGAGAAGACACACAGGTAGAAAATTAAGCCCCTGCTGGGGAAGTGTTTGCCCCGTTTATCCAGTGTAGCCATACACGTGGCCTGGGGCTTCCTGGGGCTCCTGTAGGGTGCTGGCTGCAAGCCTCTGGCCCCAGGAGGAAGCAAGTCTTGCCCCTACCTCCCCTCTCTTCTGTCTTCCAGAAAAGACTACCCAGGGTGGGGCTGGATCCCTCAGGGGCCTCCTGGTGCCTCTCTCAGCTGATTCCCACCTGGCCTGGCCCAGACTATGTTCCCTGTAGGGGTATGGTACCCATGGGTGCACACTCTTGCACAGACAATACAAATGGGGGCTTCTGTGGACAGCACTGTGAAGGTCTGTGCTACACACCATCACGCCTTGCCTGCTAACATTATGCAACCATGGGAGGCAAGGAATTCGTGTGTGTGTATGTGTGTGCACATACACACATGCATACATAGGAACAGGAAAAGGGTGTAGAGGAGGAGCACACCTACCCTGGGCTCAGAAACATTAAAGTTATCTAGAAAATCTCTAGCCACAATAGTGAGTAAAACCTGAAAACTTCAAACGTGGCTCTTACATCAAGAACAATAATGTCATGTGACGGGGGCAGAAATAGTAATTTTCATGGCCACAAATGGAACTCATCTTTAGTAACGTTACAACAGGATTGGAGGTTTTGGAACCCAAAGGACCTACAAGTGGATGCTAATAATAATGATGATGGTGATGATAGCAATAGTAGCAGCTATGTTTTACTGAACACTTTCTGTGTGCTGAGCTTTCTGTGAAAACCCTCTGAGATGGAGCTATTTACATCGCCATTTCACAAGGCACAAACTGAGGCTTTGCAAGGGTAAGCAGCTTGCTCAGTATCCCAGACTCCTTCAGGGTCAGGGTGGGGCTGAGATCTGAATTTAGGGATGCTGATTCCAGAGTCTGACCTCTCAAGCCCTGTGTCCTAGTTAGACTGTCTCTTGTCTGTGCTTCCACAAGTGATAAATGCTAAAGCATAGTAGTAAAATATCCTCACATCATCTGTTTGCTGTTCAAGCTTGGCATTTATTTTGATTAGACCATTGACTTTATCTTCTTCCACCTGAAGATCATCCAGTGTTTGCTGATGGGCCTCCTGTAGAGATTTCTTTTCTTTGGTCAATTTGGAAATGTTTTCTTCAAGTGCTGTCATTTCTTCGGAAAGATTCTTTACCTGGGACAATATTAACACCGATTTAATATGGAAACGATTATGCCAGAAGCTTCCATCAACAAAAGCTATTGCTTCTTTGCTCATTTTTCCTTTTTCCCTTTTCTTTTTGGCTACTACTTTTTTACCTCCTAGAATTGACAGACTCTCAGTTCTTTATCTTCCTTAACGGTCTATCATGGTGCCTCAAATTCTCCCATTAGGATTATTCATTTAAGGAGGGCATTATATTTTACAAGGAAGGGCGCTTTTAAAATGCAAATGTGCTACCTCTGAAGGGTAAAACATCAATCTATATTCGCTCATAATATGTCTGTGGAAATGTGTTTGTTAGGTTGGCTGAATAGGGTTTAGAATGAGGCAGGAAGGGGAGGAGAGGCGTGAGGTCCTACGCAAGAAAATTCACGCCGGGCGCGGTGGCTCACGCCTGTAATCCCAGCACTTTGGGAGGCCGAGGCGGACGGATCATGAGGTCAGGAGATCGAGACCATCCTGACTAACATCGTGAAACCTCGTCTCTACTAAAAATACAAAAAAAAAAAATTAGCCAGGCATGGTGGTGGGCACCTGTAGTCCCAGCTACTCAGGAGGCTGAAACAGGAGAATCGCTTGAAAACAGGAGGCAGAGGTTGCAGTGAGCTGAGATTGCACCACTGCACTCTAGCCTGGTGACAGAGCGAGACTCCGTCTCAAAAATAAAGACAGAAAGAAAGAAAGAAAATTCAGAACGGGAGTGCTGTGTTATCAGGAAGCAGGAGGAGGGCACCCAACACGGAACTTGAAGGAAGTAAGTGAAACCTTTTTCCACATCCAACAGGCTTCCAGATCAGAAGTTGCTAACTCCTAATCTATGGGCTGAATCTGGCCATATTTTCTTTAGTCCACATAGTGGTTTACAATGTTATCATTTACAATGTTACAGTTGTTTTTTTTTTTTTTTTTTTTTGAGAGGGAGTCTCACTCTGTCGCCCAGGCTGGAGTGCAGTGGCGCAGTCTCAGCTCACTGCAAGCTCCGCCTCCCGGGTTCACGCCATTCTCCGGCCTCAGCCTCCTGAGTAGCTGGGACTACAGGCGTCCGCCACCACGCCCGGCTAATTTTTTGTATTTTTAGTAGAGACGGGGTTTCACCATGTTAGCCAGGATGGTCTCGATCTCCTGACCTCGTGGTCTGCCCACCTTGGCCTCCCAAAGTGCTGGGATTACAGGCATAAGCCACCGCACCTGGCCCTATATTTCATTTTCTTACATTTTTCCACCGTTTAGCAGTAGGTATTTAATATTTGGTGTGCACACGCCATTGCTCCTAATGGCTACGTAGTGCTCCCTGCTGTGTTATCTACTACATTTTAGTTCTCCGTTTTCCCCGTGGTGGACCCTGGCACTGCCTCCAGCTGTCTCCCGCAAGCAATGCCACTACAAACACCCTAGGACATGTCGCCTTATGGACAGGTGGAAGAATTCCTTGATCTATACACCCAGGAGCAGAATTGCTGGGTCGTAGGGTATCTGGATTCTTAATTTGACTGAGTAATTCCAAATAACTTTCCCAAAGGCTGCATCAGTCTCTGTCCTGCCGGTACCCGCTCCTCTCAGTCAATCCTTGGTGTTATCCAGTCTTCTGCCTCCTTCACTATCTGCCTGACCCCTGTAGGCCTTCTTGTTTGCAATCCCTGTGCTTGGTGCTATGGGAACTGAAGAAGAATATGAAACAGTCCTTCCTCTCAAAGAAATGCTAGAAGTTTGTGATACAGCCAGGGAGGGTTGAGAAGAGCCTATGGGGCCGGGCTCACACCTGTAATCCAAGCACTTTGAGAGGCCGAGGTGGGTGGATCACCTGAGGTAAGGAGTTCGAGACCAGCTTGGCCAACATGGTGAAACTCCGTCTCTACTAAAAATACAAAAAATTAGCTGGGCATGGTGGTGTGTGCCTGTAATCCCAGCTACTTGGGAGGCTGAGGCAGGAGAATTGCTTGAACCTGGGAGGCGGAGGTTGCAGTGAGCTGAGATGGCACCACTGTAGCGAGATCTGCCTGGGCAACAGAGCAAGACTCCATCTCACAAAAAAAAAAAAAAAAAAAAAAAAAGAAGAAGAAGAAGAAGAAGAAGAAGAAGAAGAAGAAGAAGAAGAGTCTATGGGTAGAAAAGACACCAGAGGACAGAACTTGTTGGGACTTAACTACCCTTCACCTTGACGCCAGCCTCTCATTTCTGGGCAATGTTATATTGACTGGACTCCTACGCCACCCTTTCTCCTCCTTACAGAGAGAGAGAGTGAAGCCTGTTAAGACACTGTGGGAGTCCCTTGGGTTTGCTCACCTTGTTCTCTGTGGCATGCTTCTCCTTTTCAACTTTCGTCAAGGTCAGCTCCAGGTCATCAATGTCTCTCTTGAGAGAGGAGCATTTATCTTCCAGATTCCTCTTCTTGGCAACCAATTCAGAATTCATCTCCTCTTCCTCTTCCAATCTCTCCGTCAGCTCCTTGACTTTTGCTTCCAGTAGGATCTTGCTTTTGATGAGTCCTTCACACCGTTCCTCAGCGTCCATCAGATTTTCTGTTTCCTGAAAGAACCAGGTCATTTTATGTTTTGATTGGCCTCTTTGAAAATGCTACAAAGAAAGGGTATCACCCTCTAAAAGCTTATTATCTACACCTAAGCCAAGAAATGGGTCATGCACACACATGCACGCACATGTGCACACACTGCACACACACGTGTACATAAACTTAGATATCACCCATAAACACATTTTTTCTTTTTAGATGGAGTTTCTCTCTGTGGCCCAGGCTGGAGTGTAGCGGCATGATCTTTGCTCACTGCAACCTCTGCCTCCCAGGTTCTAGCGATTCCCTGCCTCAGCCTCCCGAGTTGCTGGGATTACAGGCATGTGCTACCATGCCTGGCTAATCTTTGTATTTTTTTGTAGAGATGGGATTTCACCATGTTGGCCAGGCTGGTCTCCAAACGCCTGACCTCAGGTGATCCTTCCGCCTCGGCCTCCCAAAGTGCTGGGATTACAGGCATGAGTCACTGCACCTGGTCCATATACATGTTTTTTTTTTTTTTTTTTTTTTTTAACTAGCAAGAACATTGCTTATAGAAATTTGCATATAATAATTTGTTCATTTATTTCTTTAGAGACAAGGGCTTGCTCTGTTGCCCAAGCTAAAGTGCAGTGGTGTGAGTGTAGCCCACTGCATCCTCACACTCCTGTGCTCAAGTGATCCTCCCACCTCAGCCTCCCAAGTAGCTGGAACTACAAGGTATGTGCCACCATGACTGGCTTCTTTTTTGGTGTGTGTACAGATGGGGCCTCCATGTGTTTCCCAGCTTGTCTCAAACTTTGAGCCTCAAGTGATCCTCCTGCCTCAGCCTCCCAAAGTGCTGGGACTACAAGTGTGAGCCACCATGCCTGGCCTCACTTATAATAATTTCAAACAGAGGAGTTTGTGAAATTACAAGTTCATTTTAAAGAATGAAGCCTCTAGAAATTTGCCACATTTGAACAGCTGGTTATCTCACTCTTCCTGCTACCACCAGTTGGAAAATGACTCATCTACTCTATGTTATCTCAAGCTGACAAAATAGTTTCAAAACATTACTATCTTTTAACTTTCATTAAATTTATTTTTAAATATATGGATTTATTTATTTTCTAGAGATAAGGTATCACTATGTTGCCCAGGCTGGTCTCGAGCTTCTGAGCTCAAGTGATCCTCCTGCCTTGGCTTCTAAAAGTGTTGGGATTATAGGCATGAGCCACCAGGCCTGGTCCTTTCAACAGAAAAGTTCTACCTATGTCTCCTTAGCTGTGTCTCCTCGAACCACAGAACAGAAAATTAAAAACACCCAAGAATTCGTGATTGAATACATATGTCCCAGAAGATGCTGCAGTGAGTCTCTTGGACAGACCAAGATCAGCTACTTCTGTTCTAAATCGGGCTATATCTTCCCATATAAGAATATTTATTTATATATTTGTTTATTTATTGAGACGGAGTCTCACTCTGTTGCCAGGCTGGAGTGCAGTGGCGCGATCTCGGCTCACTGCAACCTCTGCCTCCTGGGTTCAAGTGATTCTCCTGCCTCAGCCTCCTGAGTAGCTGGGACTACAGGTGCCCACCACCATGCCCAGCTAATTTTTGTATTTTTAGAAGAGAGGGGGTTTCACCATGTTGGCCAGGATGGTTTCGATCTCTTGATCTCATGATCCGCCCGCCTCGGCCTCCCAAAGTGCTGGGATTACAGGCGTGAGCCACCACGCCCGGCCCATATAAGAGTATTTTAAGACACACACTGCAGGGTAATGCATGGGAGGAGACTGGCAAGCCTGCATGCTAATGTTTGCTGAACATCTATAAACATGAGCTGTGTGCCAGGCATTTTACAGGCATTAACCACTCTGATTTTTCAATAGCTGGATGAGGTGAGTACTCTGACTATGCCCATTTTACAGACGAGATAACAGAAGCACAAAGAGGATATGTAGCTCATCCAAGGTCACACAGCTATCAGGTGGAGCATCTGGGATAGAAACCCAGTTATCTTGTTCCAAGAGCTGTTCTCTTGTCCGCTGTACCTGGGAAAGTGCTCCTATTAACTCACTATAGTGATTGGGAAAGTGAAAAGGGGAGCGGAAAATGCTCTGTATAAAAACAAAAGGTAAAAGTATTTGGGGATTTATTAAAAAGGGAAAATTATAAATGCCTTCACTCTGTGAAAGAGACAATTATACTGCCCCATTTCTTTTCTTTTTCTTTCTTTCTTTCTTTTTTCTTTTTTTTTGAGACGGAGTCTTGCTCTGTTGCCAGGCTGGAGTGCAGTGGCACGATCTCGGCTCACTGCAACCTCCACCTCCTGGGTTCAAGTGATTCTCCTGCCTCAGCCTCCTGAGTAGCTGGCACTACCAGCGTGTGCCACCACACCTGGCTAATTTTTTTTTTTTTGTATTTTTAGTAGAGACGGAGTTTCACCATGTTAGCCAAGATGGCCTTAATCTCCTGACCTTGTGATCTGCCCGCCTCGGTCTCCCACAGTGCTGGGATTACAGGTGTGAGCCACCGCGTCCAGCCTATACTGCCCCATTTCTTTGATAAAACTATGTATCTTTAAAGCACTTTTTTTTTTTGAGATCGGGGTCTCACTGTGTTGCCCAGGCTGGAGTGCAGTGGCATGTTCTCAGCTCACTGCAACCTCGACTACCTGGGCTCAGGTGATTCTCCCACCTCAGCCTTCTGAGTATCTTGGACTAGAGACATGCACCACCATGCCTACTAGTTTTTTTTTTTTTTTTTTTTTTTTTTTTTTTTTTTTTTGAGACGGAGTCTCGCTCTGTCGCCCAGGCTGGAGTGCAGTGGCGCGATCTCAGCTCACTGCAAGCTCCGCCTCCCAGGTTCACGCCATTCTCCTGCCTCAGCCTCCCAAGTAGCTGGGACTACAGGCGCCCGCCACTACGCCCGGCTAATTTTTTGTATTTTTAGTAGAGACGGGGTTTCACCGTTTTAGCCGGGATGGTCTCGATCTCCTGACCTCGTGATCCTCCCGCCTCGGCCTCCCAAAGTGCTGGGATTACAGGCGTGAGCCACCGCGCCCGGCCGCCTGCTAGTTTTTAAAAATTTTTTTACAGAGATGGGGTTTTGCCATGATACCCAGGCTGGTCTTGAACTCCTGGGCTCAAGCGATCCTCCCACCTCAGCCTCCCAAAGTGTTGGGCTTACAGGCATGAGCTACCACGCCCGGCCTAAAGCACTTTTTACATATTATTGTAAATAATATATAGAAAATTACTCTTGCTACTTTGAATTGGGTTATTTAATTTTGATTATTTTTATTTTTATTGATTTTTAAAAGCTGTGGTGCATATACATATGACACATATATATCCCTCATGCCCACAGCAAAATATATCTAACTCTGCGATGACGGGGAGAAATCAGGGAGAGCACAAATTCTCTTTGCAGACATAATTTCCGGCATTCACTGCTTTGCTAAGCCCGGGACCAGGCATCCTTTTACGAGCAAGGTGGTGCTGCAATACTCCACATGACCACTGGGTGGCACCACTGTCTCTCGAATAGACACCTGATGGCGCCCTCAATGTTCCTCCCCCTTTTCTGTCCTCCAGAGTCTGTGTTTTGCGTTCTCAAGTAGAAGGTACTTACAGACTGGACCTGCAATTGGAGGTCATTCTTCTCCTGCAGGAGGGAGACCATTTTCTCCTCCAGCTCCTTCCGGCGAGCCTCAGATCGGGCCAGTTCTTCCTTGGTCCTCTCAAAGTCTTCCTTCATGGTGGCCATCTCCTTCTCGGCCTCTGCACTCTTCAGCAGGGGCTTGATTTTGAAGAACAGGTTCATCCAGGGCCAGTGCTTGACGTTCATAAAAGAGCGGATGTTGTACTGGATGCAGAAGATGGAGTCCCTGTACACCCATTAGGACTCAAATTAATAAATCCAGCAAGGTCTGGTCTCTGCACCCCCAACCTGTCCCCGACGGACCCCATCCTCCGTCTTTCTCGGTTAGGTGGGAAGGAGGTGCAGCCAAGCTTGGCAGATCCTCTGGATCCAGAGTAGGTCTGCAAATGAGGGGCAGAGGAAACAGAGGTACGTGCACAGGTTGGAAGGTAGGAGAGGGCGTGGAGCTACCTGCGGGCTCCTGGTCACCTGGCTGCCCTTCCCACCACCCTACTGAGAGTGCCCTGCCTGAGGGCGTCCGTGACCTCCTAATGCTCAATGCAAGGAATAGCTTTCATTCCTATTCTATTGGGTCTTTCTCCCATGTTTGATGTATTAATCAGCTCTTAACTTTTGAAACTTTCTCTGCCTTAAATTCCATCCACATTTTCCCTGTTTCACTGCATTTTGCCATATGGGGTTCCTCTTCCTGCTGGAGAAACCCAGGACTTGTCCTTGGTCATTTCCCAGTCTCTTGCCCTGGTAGAGTTGATCTGTCTTCCCAATTTCTTTCTTTTCTATTCGTTTTTTTTTTTTTTTTTGAGATGGAGTCTTGCTCTGTTGCCCAAGCTAGAGTGCAATGGTGCAATCTCGGCTCACTGCAACCTCCGCCTCCTAGGTTCAAGCAATTCTTCTGGCTCAGCCTCCCAAGTAGCTGGGATTACAGGTATGCGCCACCACGCCTGGCTAATTTTTGTATTTTTAGTAAAGACTGGGTTTCACCATGTTGGTCAGGCTGGTCTTGAACTCCTGACCTCAGGTGATCTGCCCGCCTTGGCCTCCCAAAGTGCTAGGGTTACAAGCGTGAGCCACCACAACCAGCCTGTATTCCTAATTTCTGCTGCTGTTTTCATCCCAGTGTCACCCACATGATCTCCTCCCCTTCACCCTCCACAGCTTTATATTTACATAGCTTATGGATTCCTGAACACTGGCTTCTCTTTCCCTTCTTGAGATTCTTTTCATCTCCGTGCTGGCTTCCATGTGCTTCACCAAGCTCGATGCCTGGGAGTGATTCCTGACGCATACATGGTGGCGGTTCATTATGGCTCTGACAGTTAGAGCCACACAGGGGATCAGGGAACCAGGGAGAACAGGCTCCCTCCCACACTCCCCTCTCCCTCCAATCCCTGCAGGTGACTAGTCATCAATGCTGCTATTCCTTCTCTTGAATTATCAAAGGAAAAAGACTTAAACATTCCTTTAATCCATGCCCTCCTCTCTCACCCATCAACTATGTCCTACTTCAGGTCCTTGTCATCCCTTACTTGGACTTCTACCACACTGTGGCCTTGCCCCGTCATAGCCTTTGTGTTCACTCTCCTAGCTGCCAGAGTGATGCAATCCTACCCCTTGTCTCTGCACACACCTTCTACAGCTCTCCATCAATGACAGGGTGCAGCCTGGGTTTCTGAATGTGACACATAGGGACCTCCACTACCTGCCTCTTGCTCTCTATTCCAATGACAGCCACCTGCTTGTCGGGCTTCCTCCCAGACCACCCACTCTCAGGTTGTGTAGAGCTTGCTTCAGAAAGTGCTTTCGTCAGCTGGGCGCAGTGGCTTACGCCTGTAATCCCAGCAATGTGGGAGGCCAAGGCGGGCGGATCACCTGAGGTCAGGAGTTCAAGACCAGCCTGGCCAACATGGTGAAACCCCATCTCTAAAACAAAACAAAACAAACAAACAAAAAACAAAATAGCCGGGCGTGGTGGTGCATGCCTGTAATCCCAGCTACTAGGGAGGCTGAGGCGGGAGAATCGCTTGAACCTGGAAGCTGGAGATTGCAGTGAGCCGAGATTGTGCCACTGCACTCCAGCCTGGATGACAGAGCAAGACTCTGTCTAAAAAAAAAAAAAAAGGAAAAAAGAAAGTGCTTTCTTCTTGCTGACACCTTCATGCCAACTCCAACCCCCTAATCAGGCTGGGGGCTTATTCTTGCCAGTTCCCTATCCCCCGACTATAACTCGAACATTGAGCTTGTCACAGGCATTAAAACCAGCCATACATGCGTCTGCTTCCCACTCCTTTGTGACCCTGTGAGGGAGGGTTCATTTCTGTCTCCCCAGCGCCATGCAGAGCACCCAGCCCAGGATTGCCGCTCAGTAGATGTGGGTTAAACAAATGAAGGAAAGAGAGCAAGCACATGGAAATCCCAAGACTAAAAGCAGGAAGTGACAATCAGCTGCTAAGCAGAGAGGGCAGGATAAGGTGGAGGTGAGGGTCTGTGTCACCTCCTCTCCATCATCTTCTTGAACTCCACCCGCATCAGGTACCCCCTGCACACCGCCTGCGTGCTTGTCATCAGCGTCACCAGCTTCTCATCTCTCATCTCCTCCAAAAGTCCCAGGAGCCCAGCTTTGAAAAACACCTGCATTAAAAGACAGAGGAGCCTTGATCTTTTTCCCCAGCAGGCGTTCAGCCGGGCCCTTGAGGGGGCCTGTTTCTGCTCAACTCTGAGGCTCAACTCTCAGAGCACGGCAGGGGCAGCAATTCTGTTTCCAGGACTTGCTTCTCGGTGGCTCTGGTCTCCTCAGTGGCTCCTCCTGGGCAGTGAGGCAGCCTGGTCCAGAGTCTGTTCCAAGCTGGTCATGGTGGCTCATGCCTGTAATCCCAGCTCTTTGGGAGGCCGAGGCAGGTGATCATTTGAGGTCAGGAGTTCGAGACCAGCCTGGCCAACATGGTGAAACCCTATCTCTACTAAAAATACAAAAATTATCCGGGCGTGGTGGTGGGGACCTGTAATCCCAGATACTCAGGAGGCTGAGGCAGGAGCATCACTTGAGCCTGGGAGGTGGAGGTTGCAGTGAGCAGAGATTGCACCATTGCACTCCAGCCTGGGTGACAGAGCAAGACTCTGTCTCAAAACAAAACAAACAAACAAAACAACAACAACAACGACAAAAACAACGTGTGTTCCAGGCCCCACCAACCCACAGAGATCAGTTCTGACAGAGCTCACATACAGGAAACAAAGATGAGTCCAGAAAGAAACCATGGGACGCAATTGTGCCCAGATCAGAGAGATTCACAGATGCGTTGGCTTCACCCTCTTCTTCTGTCCATCTGGGAAGGTTGGTCCCATGCTCAGGCCCACTTCGCCCACTCCCTCCATAACATTCCAGGGAAACTAAGCACCCTCTGGGGCCAGCAGGCTCTTCCTTGCTGGAGACCCCCAGCCTGCCCGTTTCTGAGATGTGGATCTTTGGAGGCAGGCCAGGATTTGAAGCTGACCTTTGCCACTTACTATCTATCCATGTGTGACCTTGAGTAAGTTTCTCGACCTCCCAAGAACCTGATGAGTAAGTGCCACCCTTATCACCATCACTCCCACCTCGCTGGTTAGTGAGGAGTCAGTGAAGTACGTGCAGGAGGCTTCTCACAGGGCTGATACTCACGTGCTCAATAAATGGCAGCTAGTTTGTCTTTGTTTTTGTTTTTTTGAGACAGGGCTTCACTTTGTTGCCCAGGCTGGAGTGCAGTAGTATGATCAATCGCACTGCAGCCTCCATCTCCTGGCCTCAAGAAATCCTACTTCAGCCTCCCAAAAGCATGGGATTAAAGGCATGAACCACTGCGCCCCGCTTGGTAGCTGATTTTATTGTTTATAGTCATTCTCCTCAAGGCCTCAGTGTCCCTGGAGTCCTCTCTATGTTCTCCTCTCTCTTCAGCTCTTTCTTACCTCTGGGACACTAGAGTTCCCCATTGGCTTTTCCTATCCTTGCTGCATGGTGGGGCTCAGGCTTCCAATCTAAGCTTTCAGCCACTTACAAACCAACAGGGAGACAAGCTCTGTCTACCTAGACACAGAGCTCCCCTTACCTGGGCGACTGGGCAAGGACGGTCAGGTGGACCAAAAGGAGAAGGGGACCCTTTTTCTGATCAGCTAAGAAGCAGCCCAGGGCTGTGGGGTTACTAGGGGAGTCCCAGCCTTGCCTGTGCTCACCTTGGTGTTGCCGAACCTGAACTGCTCCCGGTCCACATCGATGGAGTTGAGGAGCTTCTCTGAGGCATTTTTGCTGTCAATGAACTGCCCTTCAGGGATAGCACTGGCATTGAGGATCCGGTACCTAAGGAGAGAGGACATTTCCCAAATGGATTCCAATCCCCGAAAGGCTTCATAGCTGAGACCAGCCTTCTAGAATCTTCTCCTGCTCAAGCCTTAGGAGGAAGTGGAATACTGTACAGCTGGTCTGGGAGATGGGAATAGCTAGGGACTGATTCTAGCAAGGGGGCTTGAATCAGCCCCCTTGGGAGAGAAGCAAGGTGGGTGGGAGAGAAGCATGAAAGAAGGGAGCCCAGCTGAGTGCATGGCGGGAAGTTTGCTTTCAGAGGAAATGGTTCTTCTCTGGCTTAAAAGAGGCCTTGAAATCAACCGTGACCTGTAGGCCGTGGTTCTCCTACTTCTGGAAGGTCCTCTCCTGTCCTCCATCCTGGACAAGGCCCGGACTTGTGCAACCCAATGGTGGCTCAGAGGAGAGAGTTAGTCTAGAGCTGCGGGCCTCAGCTGGGTGTGATTTGGCAATGTCTAGAGAGTTTTGATTGTCACAGCTCAGTGGGGAGGGGTGTGGTTTGCTACCACATCTCTTGAGTAGAGGGCAGGGTTACTGCTAAAATCCTCCCACACCCAGCACAGCCTCCACAATAAAGGATGATCTAGCCTGAGTGTCCATAGTACAGAAGTTGAGACATCCTGGTCTAGAGTCACAATCAGGCTAGAGGGTCTGGGATCTGAATTTGGAACCACTTGGGCTGGCCCACTCACTGTGGGCATGGGATCAGTTCCTCTAGCAAGAGATGAAGTCTGTGGAAACTCTGGGGGACTTGGGAGCTCACCAAATACCCAGGTCAAGAAATGTCTTAGGGAAATGCAAAAGGTGCCCTCGGAAGGAGAGAGATGCACAGGAGAGAGGGAACCTACCGCTGCTTGAAGTCAGCATAGAGGATCCGGCTGGGGAATCCCTTCCTGCAAATCCGGATGCCCTCGAGGACCCCGTTACAGCGCAGCTGGTGCATGACCAAGTAGTGGTCCATCACACCTGGAGAGAGAACGTCCCGGGGGTGTGCCTGTGACCCCTTCATTTGTTGTTGATGGTCTGAGGCACCATGAGACCCTCCAACACATCCACACTTGAGTGGGAGAGTCAGTGAGTGGGAGAGTCAGTGCCAGCTCCAAGGTAGAGGGCTGGGGGTGGCTAGAGCCTGCCTGCAGGTCCCGCAGTGAAATAATCCCACCCTCTTGGGGAGATGCTAGCACCCCATAACCGTGGCAGTAAGAGCCAAAGCATTGTGCTTTCTGTCCTCAGCCCTGACTCTGCAGCAAGGCTGCAAAAGCTGCAGAGTGAGTACAGGGTGCACTTGGGCTTCCCATGGGATAACCCGAGATGTCTTCTTGCATCTACACAAAGATGGGGATGGAAAAATCTGCAGGCTGTGGCTGCAGAAGAGTAACCCAGCAAAGAAGAGGAGGCCGGCTGGGCGCGGTGGCTCATGCCTATAATCCCAGCACTTTGGGAGGCCGAGGTGGGTGTATCGCCTGAGGTCAGGAGCTCGAGACCAGCCTGGCCAACATGGTGAAACCCAGTCTCTACAGAAAAATACAAAAATTAGCCAGATGTGGTGGCACACACTTGTAATCCCAGCTACTTGGGAGGCTGAGGCAGCAGAATCACTTGAACACAGGAGGCGGGGGTTGCAGTGAGCTGAGATTGAGCCACTGCACTCCAGTCTAGGCAAGAAGAGTGAAACTGCACCTCAAAAAAAAAAAAAGAAGAGGCCGTGGGAGGGGACCCAGAAGGGGGTTGAAGGTAGGGCGGCGGTCATCTGCTGACCACTCAGCCCCTGCTATAGGAATTGGGGGAGAAATGGAGCTTGGCTGGAAGGAGAGGAGCTAGAGGGGCAAGCCCCTTTGGGGAGGTAATGTGGGTGCTCGTGGTAACCAGCCTGGGTCAGGCACAAATCAAACTAGGATGGAGAAAATTCTGTCTCAGGTCTGCGTGAGGGGTTAGAGGACAGGGGCTACGGCAACCTGATGGCTTCTC
Organism: Homo sapiens; assembly: GCF_000001405.40. Lineage (NCBI taxonomy): Eukaryota > Metazoa > Chordata > Mammalia > Primates > Hominidae > Homo > Homo sapiens. Next base: position 10,334,194 of record NC_000017.11, read on the forward strand.
TTTGTGGGCTCCCTAAGTTGCCGGGGTGGGAGTGGTGGGGCCAAGGCTGGCTTTGACTTAACCTTAGGGAAGCTTCTAGAATGCCCACGTGGTTCCCTGGTAGCTGTGGGGAGACATCACTATACAATTAGATGATTTTTAAGGCTTTGGTAGAGCTGCACTGTCAGATACCGTAGTGACCAGCCACATGTGGCTATTTACATTTAAATTCATTAAAATTAAAAATTAATTAACATTTTAAAACTTTTCATGTAAATGTAAACATTTCATGTAACGGTGGCCACCCTATTGAACAGTGCAGACATGGGGCATTTAATCATTTCTGAAAGTCCTATCAGGTGGTGATTCTCTAGAGAAAACATGGTTGAGAGCAAGGAGAAAATGTCTCAGACATTCAGAGAACTGGCCAGGTGCAGTGGCTCATGCCTGTAATCACCGCACTTGGGAGGTCGAGGTGGGTGGATCACCTGAGGTCAGGAGTTCAAGACCAGCCTGGCCAACATGGTGAAACTCCATCTCTACTAAAAATACAAAAATTAGCCGGGCGTGGTGGCAGGTGCCTGTAGTCTCAGCTACTCGGGAGGCTGCGTCAAGAGAATCGCTTGAACCCAGGAGGCGGAGGTTGCAGTGAGCCGAGATTGTGCCACTGCACTCCAACCTGGGTGACAGAGCAAGACTCAGTCTCAAATAAATAAATAAATAAATAAATACAATAATTAAAAAATTCATAGAACCGCCGATGTGGAGAGAACCTTAGCAATGGTCTAATTCGACTCCCATGAGCTCTCAGATGATGATTCTGAGTGGTTAAGATCCCAGCTATGCTGTTTACTAGCTTCGCGGACTTGGCCTGTCTCTGCCTCAATTTCTTTATTTGTAAAATAAGGATAATAATGTAGGTTGAGCATCCCGATTCAGAAAACTCAAAACCTGAAAACTTTTGAGCTCCAACCTGATGCCACAAGTGGAGAATTCCACGACTGACCTCATGAGGCAGGTCGCAGCCAAAACTGTTTCACGTACAAAATTATTTAAAATATTGTATAAAATTACCTTAGGGCTATGTGTATAAGACCCATATGAAACAGATGAATTTTGTGTTTAGACTTGGTCCCATCCCCAAGATAGCTCATTAGGCACATACAAATATTCCAATATCCACAGAAATTTAAAATTCACAACACTCGTGGTCCCAAGCATTTCAGATAAAGGGATAATCAACCTGTAGTATCTGCTTCATCAGGTGGTTGAGGATTACATGAGTTAAGATGAGTACAGGCCCGGTGCGATGGCTCACGCTTGTAATCCCAGCACTTTGGGAGGCCGAGGTGGGCGGATCGCCTGAGGTCAGGAGTTCGAGACCACCCTGGCCAACATGGTGAAACCTCTTCTCTACTAAAAATATGAAAACGTAGCTGGGTGTGGTGGTGCGTCCCTGTAAATCCCAGTTACTCGGGAGGCTGAGGCAGGAGGATTGCTTAAACTGGGGAGGCAGAGGTTGCAGTGAGCTGAGATGGCGCCACTGCACTCCAGCCTGAGCGACAGAGTGAGACCCTGTCTTGAAAAAAAAAGAGAGAGAGAGAAAAGATGAGTACAAAGGTTAAAATGGTGAAAGCAGGCATGATTAACACTTGCTTTAACCATGTGGCTGAGGCCTCTTTCTTCTTAAGCACCGGGAGCAGAGAGAAAAAGGCATAGTTACAAGAGAATTGAAGCTTCTAGAGCCAGAAGAAAGCTGAAAGGACCATCATTTTACAGTGGGGAGGCCAGAGATGCCACCATGCTTGCCAGGCTGTCCATCCTGTTAGGGGTCGTGTCCGACTTGGACTGGGAGATCTTTTCTAATTCCCGCAGAGGCATCCTATGGGGTGGCGGGGCACTGGGGGAGACTGAGGCCCAGAGAGGTGAAGGGCTTTGCAAAGCTGTAGCAGAGCCGAGACGCCACTCTTCTCTCTCACAGGGCCCCTCTGGTTTGTGCAGACTCAGAATCCTGAGCTGAGTTCTCTTAGGGCTTGCTTTGTTTTTCCTTAAACCCGGCCTGAGATGTTTTCTATCAGGTCCACGTAAAGGGCCTCCTTTGCTTTTGTACCAATGCGTAAAACTTCTAAAAATTCCCCTGAGCTATTCTCTCATCCTTCTGCTCCAGCCGCTGAAGGGTTTTTCCTCTTTATTTCTCCAAGTGTATCACTTCCATCCCACTCCTTTCTCCAGCCATCTTGGCCTCTGTGGGCAGTGGTATTAGCCATGCTTTTGAAATATGCTGTATCTTATGATGATCCGGCATCATGGGGCCTCCTCGCTGGCTCAGGAGAGACTGCCCTTCCCGGGGCTAGCCATTCCAGGAGATGGCAAAAAAGCCTCCTGCAAGCACGTCTTTCACATGCAAACCAGCCATCCAAAGCCCTTAACCCCCGACCCCTACCTTTATCAGGCTCTCACAGGGCTCTTACACTCTGGGCCAATACTTCCCTGTCCTGGTCACCTCAGGGCCCCAGGTACCGGCCAACTTGAGAAAGTCCCTACATTTTGAAGCCTGCTGAAACCATTCAAACTTGGCAATGCTGAACCTGCTTGGCCTGTTCATGCTACCTCGCCTGCTCCATCCCATGGGAATGACCCTCGAGGCTCTGGCCTGTGATTTCTCCTTACTCCCCCAACCCCAAACCTAGCTCTGGTGCTTCCCCTCGTGGCCCTCTGTGGCAGGCCCCCTCCTCTTGAGCACTGTGTCTTTTTTTTTTTTTTGAGAAGGAGTCTCCCTCTGTCACTGAGGCTGGAGTGCAGTGGTGCAGTCTCGGCTCACTGCACCCACCGCCTCCTGGGTACAAGCAATTCTGCTTCAGCCTCCCAAGTAGCTGGGATTACAGGCATGCACCACCACGCCAGGCTAATTTTTGTATTTTTAGTTGAGACAGGGTTTCGCCATGTTAGGCTGGTCTCAAACTCCTGACCTCAGGTGATCCACCCACCTCAGCCTCCCAAAATGTCGGGATTACAGGCGTGAGCCACCATGCCCGGGCGTGACTGTCTTTTTAATGGTAACCATCTTCTGGTCTGTTGGCCTCACCATCCCTTAACAATAATAAAACCTACATTTAAAAACAGCAGCAAGCCAGCTTTTGGTGAGTCAGCAGCACAGACTTAGCAGGCTCCAGGTTTGCTGCAAGAGGAGAACGAGAGGAGTAGAGGCTGGAGCCTGCTCCCGAGGGGCCCTTGTTCAGCAGGCGAGCAGAGGACCTGTGCCCGTGAAGTCCTAGAGGATTTGGGAGAACAACTAGCAAGCCCCGTATGTGCCTGTGGGTGGGGAGGGACTTGAGATTTGATCATGGATCGTGACTCCCAGCCCCTGCTCTAGGTGCCCTGGGGTAAGGCATGGAAATCTCCATAGTCTCTAGTCTTCTAGAAAATAAAGAGGGCACACTAGCTGCTTTCTAAGGTGTCACCAGGCTTCTGTATTCGTGTTGGGCTATTCCCAGAAATTGACATGAAAACAGAGAGGTAGGTGCCAGAGCTAAGGAGAAGCAAATGCAACAGGAAAGGACAGACATTTCAGCAACATTTACCTTCCCAAAGAAAATGTAGGGCCGGGCGCGGTGGCTCACGCCTGTAATCCCAGCACTTTGGAAGGCTGAGGTGGGCATATCACGAGGTCAGGAGATCGAGACCATCCTGGCTAACATGGTGAAACCCCATCTCTACTAAAAGTACAAAAATTAGCTGGGCATGATGATGTGTGCCTGTAGTCCCAGCTACTCAGGAGGCTGAGGCAGGAGAATAGCTTGAACCAGGGAGTTGGAGGTTGCAGTGAGCCGAGATCGTGCCACTACACTCCGGCCTGGCGACAGAGCGAGAGTCTGTCTCAAAAAAGAAAAAAAAGTAAGCCAGTGGATTACCAAAAGCATTCCTCCCAGAGGCACAGTTTGAAGCCATCCCCCACCACCTTGCAGGCCATCTGCTTAGAGAGGAGTCAGGCCACAAGCATGTTTGATTTATGCAAACATGTACTCAACGACGACAGTAACAGAAATGGATATTTTCCAAGACCTACTACAAGCCAATGATTTCGTGTGATTCTTAACCAAAGAAACCACTCTTCCCAACACTGGAGAAGCCGGCTCATTGGTCAGGAGGCTGCAGGATGCCCCAGATAATGCATATATCACAATGATGTAGTTGGTTATTGCTTTTGACTTAGACTTTAGAACCTAACTTTCATGGAAGATGCAGTTTCACTAACTATAACACACCTGGCTATTGGGGATTTAAAGTTTATAGTTCTGAGTGATAATAATAATAATAATAATTAGCATCCAACATTTGCTGGGTGTTCACAATGTGCTCAGCCCTGTTGTAAATGCTTGACTTGCACTTACTCATTGAACCCTCACGACAACCCTCTAAGGTGGGTTAAATGAGCTAATATTTGCAAAGTGAGTAACCACTTTATGAGTGCTTATTAAAGAAGTAAATAATAGATTAAAATGCCACTTTTATCCTTGTTTTTTTTTTTTTTTTGTTTGTTTTTTTTGAGACGGAGTTTCGCTCTGTCGCCCAGGCTGGAATGCAGTGGCACGATCTCGGCTCACTGCAAGCTCCGTCTCCCGGGTTCACGCCATTCTCCTGCCTCGGCCTCCCGAATAGCTGGGACTACAGGCGCCCGCCACCACGCCCAGCTAATTTGTTTGCATTTTTAGTAGAGACGGGGTTTCACCATGTTAGCCAGGATGGTCTCGATCTCCTGACCTCGTGATCCACCCGACTCGGCCTCCCAAAGTGCTGGGATTACAGGCGTGAGCCACTGTGCCCGGCCTATCCTTGTTTTATGGACAAGAAAGCTGAGGCAGAAAGTGCTCAAATACTCTGCTTAGGATCACGTGGTAATAGGTGAACTTTTCCCCCCCAACCCCCCGACAACGTATACCTCTGTTCACTCATAATGTTGCAGAGGCAGAATGTTTAATCCTGAGCTGGGAGGCCCGTGTTGGGCATAGAACAGCTCAGCTGGTGAGTTAGCTACCCCATAGCCACAGCTCCGTGTGACAGTTTGTTTTCCTTTTTGTGACAAATGACACTGAAAAAGCTAGACTCCAAGAATATTCGCAAATCAGGATGAAGTGACAGTTAAAGGAGTCCTCTATTGCACAGGGTTCTATATTTATATATAGTCTGTATTGCACAGGGTTCTGTATTTATATATAGTCTCTGATTCTCAGTTTTCTCATTTATAAACTGGAGATCAATACGCGTATCTTGCAGAGAACTGTTGCAAGGATTCGAGGTAATATAACAAAGTGATTGACATGCAGTATGGCTTCAAACAGTTGTTATTGATGCTATTTTGATTATGGGATACCCAAGATGATTATTTGCCAAATGTAGTGGTATTTAACTTTGGGGTAAACAGA